>NC_000006.12:63822503-64125533 GCF_000001405.40 Homo sapiens
AGGAATGACCATGTCTGAACTTTCATTTGAGGGGAAAAAGGATAATTAACACCATTGAACAAATTTAAAGGGAGAATGGAAGACAAAGTAAAGTTGTTTTATGTTTACATACAGCTGTGCTATTAAGAAAAGCTACCGATTTTTATTTTTTGTCTCGTACAAATTTTTCTCATTAAAGTTATACAACCAACAAAAATAGATTTGTATCTTCTTTTCTACTATGAGTATTGATTATTTTTATCTCATTGCATTTGCTTGGACCTTCTCAAGAATATGGCAAATAATAATAGTTATACTAGGCATCCTTGTCAAGTTCTGATTTTAATTGAAGAGGTTTTAGTGTTTCACCACTAGGAATACTATGTGCTTTTGGTTTCAAACTAGGCTTTATTAAATTTTAGTATTTTATTCCAGTTTTTAGTTTCTGTTTTCTAATTTTCTTATAAACAATAAAACAATTATGTCTGTTGAATTTGATTGGATGTCTTATTTGTAACTATCTGATGACATTTTAGTATTGATTAATCAAAAAATATTTTCCTTTAGTTTATTTTTTGATTTTGCATTATGTTGATAAATTTCCTAGTATTGAATAACCTTGGTATTCTTAGAACATTCCTAACTTAGTAATAATATATATTTTGGTACATTGTTTGATTATATTTGCTAATATTTACCTTTTTCTCCCCCCTACAGGCATTTAGTGAAATTGGTCCATAGTTTTATTTTCTTCTGCTAATGCTATGCTGAGTTAATAAAATGAATTGAGAAGCACTCACCTTTTTCTGTGGTCTGGAATAAGTAACACTGAAATAATCTGTTCTTAATACATACGATGAAATACTTACAAATGTGCATTATTGTGGTGACTTTTAAAATAGTACATGTTTAATTACCTTTGAAGATGCTAACGTAGCAATTAAAAATGTTTTTTCATTTATGAGTCAATTTGAATAATTATGGTTTTCTAGAATAACATTCATTTTCTCCAAGTTTCAAAGTTTGTTTGCAATGGACATGCATATTTTATTCTCTAAGAAAAAAATTTCTCATTTATCTATGATTATGCCACATTCTCATTTCTAATCATATTTTTCATCTTTTTACTCTAATCATACCTTGAAGAACTTATTTTCTTTAGCTTTAATAATAACCAAGTTCTTTTATACTTTATTTATTTCACTTTCATCAATAATTGCCTTTTTGTAATTTATTTTGGTTTATTTCTATGCTTTACATCTTAAAATGGGTACTTCTTATATTTTTATCTTTTGTCTTTTTTTCTATTTCATTTGTTTCAGCTACATTTTCAATGATTCCCCTTTCCTAAGTTACTTTTATTTGCATTATTGTTCTTTTTTTCTAATTTGTTAATATATGCCCCAAGTCCTTACATTTTTCTTCTGGATTCACTTTCCTCCAATTTTGTCTAGGTTAATCTCTAGCCTCTTGCCCAATGCAAAGGAAAGCAGAATAGATACTCCAATTTCTATAACTCAGGAACCTACTTCCACCAAGCTTCCCACTGACTTCAGAATATGCATCTTACAAGTGACAGCTAGATTGGAGTTGGAAATAAAGGAAGATAGCATCCCACAATCTCGTCTCTCTTTCATTTATAACGTAACTATAATATGTCACAGGCAAGTTCTAAATAAAGAAAACCTTAAATCATTGAGGGACATAAAGTAAATTATTAGTAAGTAGAAATACTTTCAAATAGGAAATTTTAATATAATAGACATGCCAATTCCCACTAAGTGATTTTATGAATTCAATGTGATCTTAATGGAAACATGACGGTATGGAGTGAGTCCAGCATAAGACACAAATATACCTGGAAGATTTTTACTGTGAGTGGCTTTTCAAATTAATGAGAAAAAGGAAGATCATTCAATAAATATTACTGATAAATTGATCATTACCACATATTACAAAATAAAACTTAGCTTCATAAAAAATTAAATGTTACTGCAAGAACAAACCAGCAATCCCCAGAGGACCCACAGACCCTCTGAAGGAAGTGGACTGCTGCTGCAGGACGCGGAGACACCCCAAATTCTGTGAGCACCCCAGCTGCGGAAGTGGGAAAAGGAGACCCTCCTCTCCCGAGCACATACCTCCATTGGAGAAGCTGAAGGTCCAGGTCCGTTTGCAGGAGAAGTTGCCGAGTTTACCTGGAGCCAAGTCAAGTTAGAGAGCCGAGCCAAGTGAAATACAGGGGTAGAGGAAGCAGCAGAAAGGCCCTGGGAGCTTACTGGGTCCCCAAGCAGCCCATTCCTGCCTGGCACCACAGGGATCCATCAGGAGGGTGGCCAGAGGAACGGGGGCAAAACTCCAAAGGGAGAAGGAATTCTGTAGCTGAACTTTGTAACAACTTGAACCAGGCGAGAAGCCTCCTGGCCAGAACTTGGGGGAGGGCGCCAATCCCGCTTGCAGAGTTCACAAGCAGGGGAAGAACTAAAGCCCTTTTCTTTTGCAGCTGGGAGGCAGAAATCTGGCAAGTTTTCAAGCCCCTCTCACCCGCCACCTGGGAATAGACTCGGGGCTGTTGTTGGGGGCATGGTGGGAGTGAGACTGGCCCTTCAGTTTGCATGGGAGCTGGGTGAGGCCTGTGACTGCTGGCTTTCCCCTACTTCCCTGACAACCTTCATGACTAGGCAGAGGCAGCCACAATCCTCCTAGGTACACAACTCCAGTGACCTGGGAACCTGTCCCCCATCCTCCACAGCAGCCACAGCAAAACCTATACAAGGAGACTCTGAGCTTAGACATGCCTAGCCCTGCCCCCACCTGATGGTCCTTCCCTACCCACCCTGGTAGTGGAAGACAAAGGGCGTATAATCTTGGGAGTTCTAGGGCCCCGCCCACTGCCCATCCCTCTCCACACTATAGCTGTTCTGGAAAATGCCACCTCTGGGCAAGAGGCCAAGCAGCACAAAAATAGAGCATTAAACCACCAAAGCTAAGGACCCTCACAGAGTCCATCGTGCCCTTCGCCACCTCAACGAGAACAGGTGCTGGTATCCATGGCTGAGAGACCCATAGATGGTTCACATTACAGGAATCTATGCCGACAATGGCCAGTATCAGTCCAGAGTTAGGTAGACTCGCTGGATGGTTAGACCCAGAAGAGAGACAATAATCACCGCAGTTCAGCTCACAGGAAGCCACATCCACAGGATAAAGGGAGAGTACTACATCAAGGAAACACCCCATGGGACAAAATGATCTGAACAACAGCCTTCGGCCCTAGACCTTCCCTCTGACAGAGCCCACCCAAATGAGAAGGAACCAGAAAACCAACCCTAGTAATATGACAAAACAAGGCTCATCAACACCCCTCAAAAATCACACTAGTTCACCAGCACTGGATCCAAACCAAGAAGAAATCCCTGAGATAGTTGAAAAAGAATTCAGGAGGTTAGTTATTAAGTGAATCAGGGAAGGAACAGAGAAAGGCAAAGCCCAATGTGAGGAAATTCAAAAAATGATACAAGTAGTGAAGGGAGAAATATTCAAGGAAATAGATAGCTTAAAGCAAAAACAATAGAAAAAATTCAGGAAACTTTGGACACTTTTAGAAATGTAAAATGCTCTGGAAAGTCTTAACAATAGAATTGAACAAGTAGAAGAAAGAAGTTCAGAGCTCAAAGACAAGGTCTTTGGATTAATCCAATCCAACAAAGACAAAAAATAAGAAAATATGAACAAAGCCTCCAAGAAGTCTGGGATTATGTTAAACAACCAAACCTAAGAATAATCATTGTTCCTGAGGAATAAAAGAATTCTAAAAGCCTGGAAAACGTATTTGGGGGGATAATTGAGGAAAACTTTCCCAGCCTTGCTAGAGACATAGACATCCAAATACAAGAAGCACAAAGAGCACCTGGGAAATTCATTGCAAAAGGATCATCATTGCCTAGGCACATTGTCATCAGGTTAGCCAAAATTAAGACAGAGGAAAGAATCTTAAGAGCTGTGAGACAGAAGTGCCAGGGAACCTATAAAGAAAAACCTATCAGATTAACAGCAGACTTCTCAGCAGAAAATCTACAAGCTAGAAGGGATTGGGGACCCATCTTCAGCCTCCTCAAACAAAACAATTATCAGCGAAGAATTTTGTATCCAGTGAAACTAAGCATCATATGTGAAGGAAAGATACAGTCATTTTCAGACAAACAAATGCTGAGAGAATTCACCATTACCAAGCCATCACTACAAGAACTGCTAAAAGGAGCTCTAAATCTTGGGAAAAAAATCCTGTAAACACATCAAAACAGAACCTCTTTAAAGCATAAATCACAGAGGATCTATAAAACAAAAATACAAGTTAAAAAGCAAAAAAAAAAAAAAAAAAAGGACAAAAACAAAAAAAAAATACATAGGCAACAAAGAGCACAATGAAAGCAAGGCTACCTCATATTTCAATACTAACATTGAATGTAAATGACCTAAATTCTCCACTTAAAAGATACAGAACAGCAGAATGGATAAGAACTCACCAACCATCTGCTGCCTGCAGGAGACTCACCTAACACATTAAGAACTCACATAAAGTAAAGGGATGGAAAAAGGCATTTCATGCAAATGGACACCAAAAGCGAGCAGGGGTAGCTATTCTTATATCAGAGAAATGAACTTTCAAGCAACAGCAGTTAAAAGAGACAAAGAAGGACAGTATATAATGATAAAAGGCCTTGTCCAACAGGAAAATATCACAAACCTAAACACATACGCACCTAACACTGGAGCTCCCAAATTTATAAAACAATTACTAATAGACCTAAGAAATGAGACAGTCAGCAACACAATAATAGTGGGGGACTTCAATACTCCACTGGCAGCACTAAATACTTCATCAAGACAGAAAGTCAACAAACAATGGATTTGAACTATACCTTGGAACAAATGGAATTAACAGATATATACAGAACATTTCATCCAACAACCACAGAATATACATTCTATTCAACAGTTCTGGAACTTTCTCCAGGAAAGACCATATGATAGACAATAAAATGAGCCTCAGTAAATTTCAGAAAATTGAAATTACATCGGCCGGGCGCGGTGGCTCACGCCTGTAATCCTAGCACTTTGGGAGGCCGAGGCGGGTGGATCATGAGGTCAGGAGATCTAGACCATCCTGGCTAACAAGGTGAAACCCCGTCTCTACTAAAAATACAAAAAATTAGCCGGGCGCTGTGGCGGGCGCCTGTAGTCCCAGCTACTTGGGAGGCTGAGGCAGGAGAATGGCGTGAACCCGGGAAGCGGAGCTTGCAGTGAGCTGAGATTGCGCCACTGCAGTCCACAGTCCGGCCTGGGCGACAGAGCAAGACTCCGTCTCAAAAAAAAAAAAAAAAAAAAAGAAATTACATCAAGCACTCTCTCAGACCACAGTGGAGTAAAACTTGAAATCAACTCCAAAAGGAACCTTCAAAGTCATGCAAATACATGGAAATTAAATAACCTGCTCCAGAATGAGTATTTGATAAAAAGACAATCAAGATGGAAATTTAAAAAATTATTTGAACTGAATGACAATAGTGATACAATCTATCAAAACCTCTGGGGTACAGCAAAGACAGTGCTATAAGGAAAGTTCATAGCCCTAAACACCTACATCAAAAAGTCTGAAAGCACACAGTCTAAGGTTACACCTCAAGGAAATAGAGAAACAAGAACAAACCGAACCCAAAACCAGCAGAAGAAAGGAAATAACCAACATCAGATCAGAACTAAATGAAATTGAAACTAAAAAATACAAAAGATAAATGAAATGAAAAGCTGGTTCTTTGAAAAGATAAGTAAAATTGATAGACCATTAGCAAGATTAACCAAGAAGAGAAAAAATCCAAATAACCTCACGAAGAAATGACTGACACCACTGAAATACAAAAGATCATTCAAGGTGACTATGAACACCTTTAAGCACATAAACTAGAAAACCTAGAAGAGATGGATAAATTCCTGGAAAAATACAACCCTTCCAGCACAAATCAAGAAGAATTACATAACCTGAAGAGAACAATAACAAGCAGCGAGAATGGAGAAAATCTTCACAATCTATACATCTGACAAAGGACTCATATCCAGAAGCTATAATGAACTCAAATTAGTAAGAAAACAAACAATCCTATCAAAAAATGGGCTAAGGACATGAATAGGAAGATATACAAATGGCCAACAAACATCTGAAAAAATGCTCAACATTACTAGTGATCAGGTAAATGCAAATCAAAACCACAATGTGATACCACTATACTCCTGCAAGAATGGCCATAATAAAACAAATTTTAAAAAGTAGATGTTTGTGTGGATGTGGTGAACAGGGAATACTTCTACACTGCTGGTGGGAATGTAAACTAGTATGGAATGTAAACTAATACAGAATGTAAACTAGAAAACTGTGTGGAGATTCCTTAAAGAACTAAAAGTAGAACTACCATTTGATCCAGCAGTACCCACTACAGGGTATCTATTGAGAGGAAAAGAAGTCATTATTCAAAAAAGATACTTGCACATGCATGTTTATAGCAGCACAATTCACAATCGCAAAATCATGGAACCAACCCAAATGCCATCAATCAACAATGAGTGGCGGAGGTTCCAAGATGGCCAAATAGGAACAGCTCCAGTCCGCACCTCTCAGCGTGAGCAATACAGAAGATGGGTAATTTCTGCATTTCCAACTGAGGTACCGGGTTCGTCTCACTGGGGCTTGTCAGATAGTGAGTGCAGCCTATGGAGCAAGGTGGGGTATCACCTCACCCGGGAAATGCAAGAGGTCAGGGAATTCCCTTTCCCAGCAAAGGGAAGCCATGACAGATGGTACCTGGAAAATTGGGACACTCCCACCCTAATACTGTGCTTCTCCAATGGTCTTAGCAAATGGCACACCAGGAGATTATATCCCACACCTGGATTGGAGGGTCCCACGCCCACAGAGCCTTGCTCACTGCTAGCACAGCAGTCTGAGATTGAACTGCAAGGTGGCAGCGAGGCTGGGGGAGGGGCGTCCACCATTGCTGAGGCTTGAGTAGGTAAACAAAGCAGCTGGGAAGCTCAAACTGGGTGGAAACCACTGCAGCTCAAGGAGGCCTGCCTGCCTCTGTAGACTCCACTTCTGGGGGCAGGGCATAGCTGAACAAAAGGCAGCAGAAACTTCTGCAGACTTAAACGTCCCTGTCTGACAGCTTTGAAGAGAGTAGTGGTTCTCACAGCATGGAGTTTGAGATCTGAGAATGGACAGACTGCCTCCTCAAGTGGGTCACTGACCCCTGAGTAGCCTAACTGGGAGACACCTCCCAGTAGGGGATGACTGACACCTCATAGAGCTAGGTGCCCCTCTGAGACAAAGCTTCCAGAGGAAGGATCAGGCAGCAACGTCTGCCATTCTGCAATATTTGCTGTTCTGCAGCCTCTGCTGGTGATACCCAGGAAAACAGGGTCTGGAGTCGACCTCCAGGAAACTCCAACAGACCTGCAGCTGAGGGTCCTGACTGTTAGAAGGAAAACTAACAAACAGAAAGGACATCCACACCAAATCCCCATCTGTACGTCACCATCATCAAAGACCAAAGGTAGATAAAACCACAAAGATGGGGAGAAACCAGAGCAGAAAAGTTGAAAATTCTAAAAATCGGAGTGTCTCTTCTCCTCCAAAGGAAAACAGCTCTTCACCAGCAACTGAACAAAGCTGGACGGAGATGACTTTGACAAGTTGAGAGAAGAAGGCTTCAGACGATTGCTATTTACAGACTCCTCCCAGCTAAAGGAGGACATTCGAACCTATCGCAAAAAAGTTAAAAACCTTGATAAAAGATTAGACGAATGGCTAAGTAGAATAAACAGTGTAAAGAAGACCTTAAATGACCTGATGGAGCTGAAAACCATGGCACGAGAACTACATGATGCATGCACAAGCCTCAGTAGCCAATTTGATCAAGTGGAAGAAAGGGTATCAGTGATTGAAGATCAAATGAATGAAATGAAGCAAGAAGAGAAGTTTAGAGAAAAAAGAGTAAAAAGAAACAAAGCCTCCAAGAAATATGGGACTATGTGAAAAGACCAAATCTATGTCTGATTGGTGTACCTGAAAGTGATGGGGAGAATGGAACCAAGTTGGAAAACACTCTTCAGGATATTATCCAGGAGAACTTCCCCAACCTAGCAAGGCAGGCCAACATTCAAATTCAGGAAATACAGAGAACTCCACAAAGATACTCCTTGAGAAGAGCAACTCCAAGACACATAATTGTCAGATTCACCAAAGTCGAAATGAAGGGAAAAATGTTAAGGGCAGCCAGAGAGAAAGGTCAGGTTACCCACAAAGGGAAGCCCATCAGAGTAACAGCGGATTTCTTGGCAGAAACTCTTAAAGCCAGGAGAGAGTGGAGGCCAGTATTCAACATTCTTAAAGAAAAGGATTTTCAACCCAGAATTTCATATCCAGCCAAACTAAGCTTCATAAGTGAAGGAGAAATAAAATCCTTTACAGACAAACAAATGCTGAGAGATTTTGTCACCACCAGGCCTGCCTTACAAGAGCTCCTGAAGGAAGCACTAAACATGGAAAGGGAAAACCAGTACCAGCCATTGCAAAAACATGCCAAATTGTAAAGACCATTGATGCTAAGAAGAAACTGCATTAACTAATGGGCAAAATAACCAGCTAAAATCATAATGACAGGATCAAATTCACACATAACAATATTAACCTTAAATGTAAATGGGCTAAATGCCCCAATTAAAAGACACAGACTGGCAAATTGGATAAAGAGTCAAGACCCATCAGTGTGCTGTACTCAGGAGACCCATCTCATGTGCAGAGACACACATAAGCTCAAAATAAAGGGATGAAGGAAGATCTACCAAGCAAATGGAAAACAAAAAAAAGCAGGAGTTGCAATCCTAGTCTCTGATAAAACAGACTTTAAACCAACAAAGATCAAAAGAGACAAAGAAGGCCATTACATAAGTAAAGGGATCAATTCAACAAAAAGAGCTAACTATCCTAAATATATATATGCACCCAATACAGGAGTACCCAGATTCATAAAGCAAGTCCTTAGAGACCTACAAAGAGACGTAGACTCCCACATAATAATAATGGGAGATTTTAACACCCCATGTCAACATTAGACAGATCAAAGAGACAGAAAGTTAACAAGGATATCCAGGTATTGAACTCAGCTCTGCACTAAGCAGACATAATAGGCATCTACAGAACTCTCCACCCCAAATCAACAGAATATACATTCTTCTCAGCACCACATCACACTTATTCCAAAATTGACCACATATTTGGAAGTAAAGCACTCCTCAGCAAATGTAAAAGAGCAGAAATTACAAAAAACTGTCTCTCAGACCACACTGCAATCAAACTAGAACTCAGGATTAAGAAACTCACTCAAAACGGCTCAACTACATGGAAACTGAACAACCTGCTCCTGAATGACTACTGGGTACATAACGAAATGAAGGCAGAAATAAAGATGTTCTTTGAAACCAACGAGAACAAAGACATAACATATCAGGATCTCTGGGATAAATTTAAAGCAGTGTGTAGAGGGAAACTTATAGCACTAAATGCCCACAAAAGAAAGCAGGAAAGATCTAAAATTGACACCCTAACATCACAATTAAAAGAAATAGAGAAGTAAGAGCAAACACATTCAAAAGCTAGCAGAAGGCAAGAAATAACTAAGATCAGAGCAGAACTGAAGGAGATAGAGACACAAAAAACCCTTCAAAAAATCAATGAATCCAGGAGCTGGTTTTTTGAAAAGATCAACAAAATTGATAGACCGCTAGCAAGACTAATAAAGAAGAAAAGAGAGAAGAATCAAATAGACACAATAAAAAATGATGAAGGGGATATCACCACCGATCCCACAGAAATACAAACTACCATCAGGAATACTATAAACACCTCTATGCAAATAAACTAGAAAATCTAGAAGAAATGGATAAATTCCTGGACACATATACCCTCCCAACACTAAACCAGGAAGACGTTGAATCCCTGAATAGACCAATAACAGGCTCTGAAATAGAGGCAATAATTAATAGCCTACCAACCCAAAAAAGTCCAGGACCAGACGGATTCACAGCCTAATTCTACCAGAGGTACAAAGAGGAGCTGGTACCATTCCTTCTGAAACTATTCCAATCAATAGAAAAAGAGGGAATACTCCCTAACTCATTTCATGAGGCCAACATCATCCTCATACCAAAGCCTGGCCGAGACACAACAAAAAAAGAGAATTTTAGACCAATATTCCTGGTGAACATCAATGTAAAAATCCTCAATAAAATACTGGCAAACCAAATCCAGCAGCACATCAAAAAGCTTATCCACCATGATCAAGTTGACTTCATCTCTGGGATGCAAGGCTGGTTTGACATAAGCAAATCAATAAATGGAATCCATCATATAAACAGAACCAAAGACAAAAACCACATGACTATGTCAATAGATGCAGAAAAGGCCTTTGACAAAATTCAGCAGGCCTTCATGCTAAAAACTCTCAATAAACTAGGTATTGATGGGATGTATCTCAAAATAATAAGCCCTATTTATGACAAACCCACAGCCAATATCATACTGAATGGGCAAAAACTGGAAGCATTCCATATGAAAACTGGCACAAGACAGGGATGCCCTCTCTCACCACTCCTATTCAACATGGTGTTGGAAGTTCTGGCCAGGGCAATCAAGCAAGAGAAAGAAATGAAGTGTATTCAATTAGGAAAAGAGGAAGTAAAATTGTGCCTGTTTGCAGATGACATGATTGTATATTTAGAAAACCCCATCGTCTCAGCCCCAAATCTCCTTAAGCTGATAAGCAACTTCGGCAAAGTTTCAGGATACAAAATCAATGTGCAAAAATCACAAGCATTCCTATACACCAATAAGAAACAGCCAAATCATGAGTGAACTCCCATTCACAATTGCTTCAAAGAAAATAAAATACCTAGGAATCCAACTTACAAGGGATGTGAAGGACCTCTTCAAGGAGAACTATAAACCACTGCTCAACAAAACAAAAGAGGACACAAACAAATGGAAGACCATTCCATGCTCATGGATAGGAAGAATCAATATCATGAAAATGGCCATACTGCCCAAGGTAATTTTTAGATTCAATGCCTTCCCCATCAAGCTACCAATGACTTCCTTCACAGAACTGGAAAAAACTACTTTAAAGTTCATATGGAACCAAAAAAGAGCCCACATTGCCAAGACAATCCTAAGCCAAAAGAACAAAGCTGGAAGCATCACGCTACAGGACTTCAAACTATACTACAAGGCTACAGTAACCAAAACAGCATGCTACTGGTACCAAAACAGAGATACAGACCAATGGAACAGAACAGAGCCCTCGGAAATAATACCACACGTCCACAACCATCTGATCTTTGACAAATCTGACAAAAACAAGCAATGGGGAAAGGATTCCCTATTTAATAAATGGTTCTGGGAAAACTGGCTAGCCATATGTAGAAAGCTGAAACTGGATTCCTTCCTTACACCTTATACAAAAATTAATTCAAGATGGATTAAAGACTTAAATGTTAGACCTAAAGCCATAAAAACTCTAGAAGAAAACCTAGGCAATACCATTCAGGACATAGGCAGGGGCAAGGACTTCATGACTAAAACACCAAAAGCAATGGCAACAGAAGCAAAAATAGACAAATGGGATCTAATTAAACTAAAGAGCTTCTGCACAGCAAAAGAAACTACCATGAGAGTGAACAGGCACCCTACAGAATGGGAGAAAATTTTTACAATCTACCCATGTGACAAGGGAGTAATATGCAGAATCCACAAAGAGCTTTAACAAATTTACAAGAAAAAACCCCATCAAAAAGTGGGTGAAGGATATGAACAGACCCTTCTCAAAAGAAGACATTCATACAGGCAACAGACACATGAAAAAATGCTCATCATCACTGGCCATCAGAGAAATGCAAATCAAAACCACAATGAGATACCATCTCACACCAGTTAGAATGGCAATCATTAAAAAGTCAGGAAACAACAGATGCTGGAGAGGATGTGGAGAAATAGAAACGCTTTTACACTGTTGGTGGGAGGGTAAATTAGTTTAGCCTTGTGGAAGACACTGTGGCGATTCCTCAAGGATCTAAAGCTAGAAATACCATTTGACCCAGCCATCCCATTACTGGGCATATACCCAAAAGATTATAAATCATGCTGCTGTATAGACACATGCACGTGTATGTTTACTGTGGCACTATTCACAATAGCAAAGACTTGGAACCAACCCAAATGTCCATCAATGATAGACTAGATTAAGACAATGTGTCACATATACACCATGGAATACTATGCAGCCATAAAAAAGGATGAGTTCATGTCCTTTGTAGGGACATGGATGAAGCTGGAAACCATCATTCTGAACACACTATGGCAAGGACAGAAAAACAAACACCACACGTTCTCACTCATAGGTGGGAATTGAACAATGAGAACATTTGGACACAGGGTGGAGAATATCACAGACCAGGGCCTATTGTAGGGTGGGGGGAGGGGGGAGGGTTAGCATTAAGGGATATACCTAATGTAAATGATGAGTTAATGGGTGCACTACACCAACATGGCATATGTATACATATGTAACAAACCTGCACATTGTGCACATGTACCCTAGAACTTAAAGTATAATAATAAAAAATAAAAAATAAATGAGTGTATAAAGAAACTGTGGTATGTGTCTGTGTGTGTATATATATATACATATATACTCTCTATATACTATATACATACATATATACTCTATATATACATATATACTCTCTCTCTATATATATATACACACACACACACACACATACAATGGAATACTACACAGCCATAGAAAGGAATGAATTAACAGTATTTGCAGTGACCTGGATGAAATTAGAAACTATTAATTCTTTCGTTCTTTAAGTGACGTAACTCAGGAATGAAAAATCAAACATCATATGTTCTCACTGATATGTGGGAACTAAGTTATGAAGATGCAAAGGGATAAGAATGATACAATGGACTTTGGAGACTTGGAGGGAAGAGTGGGAGGGAGGCGAGAGATTTGACTACAAATATGGTGCAGTGTATACTGTCTGGATGATGGGTGCATCAAAATCTCACAAATAACCACTAAAGAACTTATGTAACCAAATACCACCTGTAGCCCAATAACTTATGGACAAATAATAATAAATTAAATATGAAACTATAACAGTTTTAGAAATAAGAACCATAGGTCAACAAACTTATTAATCCTTCTAACTTTGACATAATAGAAGGAAGTAGAAAAAAGTGATAAATTTGGCTATTTAAAACTTCTTAATTCTTAAAACTACTGAAAGCCAAAAATGTGGGAAAAGAAAGTCAAAAGACAAATGGATTCCATTCTATAAATATAACAAATTTTGGTTATATCATGTCAATGTTCATCTGTTGGCAGACATTTGAGTTGCTCCCATTATTGGGCTGTTATGAATAATGCTCCTATGAAAATTATTATACAGGTTTTTGTATGGACATATTTTATTTCTCTGGATTATATACTTTGGAGTGGAATTGCTGGGTCATATGGTAACTCTAACACTTTGAGAAATTGCTAAACTGTTTTCTAAATTTATTGCACCATTTTAGACTCCTACCAGCAATGTATGAATTACTGATATATTCTGTAACATGGATGAACTTTGAAAGTATTTTGCTAAGTGAAAGAAGCCAATTACAAATGGCTAATGGTTTCTGGTAAAACAGAAATTCTGTTTGCTCTTAGGTGAATGTAAAATTTGCCTTTTACCAAAAAAATTTGGTAAAATATTTGTCTTTTACCAAAAAATGACATTTCTAGCAAAATAAGAAAAAGAAAAAAAAGATTAACAGAAAGTTATTTGCATCAACACAGACTGTTCTAGGAGCATGGAATTGTTAAAAAAAATTCAATATTAGTTTAATGTTAGAAACAGAAGGAAAAAAGTGAGCATAATAAACTTTGTCTATTAGAAATTAATGGTCAGCGGTAGAAAAAGTCATTGTTCTAAAAAGTAGAAAGAAAATATCAAATATATCTATGTAAAAAATCATATGGTATGGGAAGAAACTAAGGAACATTTATAAAAGAGTACAGATTTTTAAAATATTAAAAAAAATTTTTTGGCATTAAAATGGCAATTCCTTTTGCACCAACCAAATAGTTATTGAAGGACTGGGTTCATGAAGATCTCTGTTGCTTGGGGAATGAGGACATAGTCCTCGTTTGACCATAGCACACTCATTAATGCAATTTATTCAGTAAATATTTAGTAGTCTGCTAACACAGATGTAAAAATCATACACCTAATAACTCTGAAGAACATAAAGATAACTAAGACATAGTCCTTGGCTATAACTTGGCCTTGTATCATTCTCTGCCTTTTTTTTGAAATGAAAAGAATATTTTTTCTCCTTTTGAAACAGTTAATTTGAGGGTTGGGACTATTTTTGTTTTGTATTCTCCACAGCGTCTGATACTATGATGTTCCATCAATTCACATGTGACATTCAATCAATATTTTTTGATAGTACTGTCTCATATTGACACTGATTTGAATTCAAAAAAATATAGAAACATTTTATGAAAAAGAACACTATATTTTGAGTGATTCCTAGAGCTGTAACTTTTATAGTGACAATGGTGACTTTGTTTTCTACATGCTACTCATAGGCTATCCTTCTAGAGCACCCTGGTTAAAATTAAAAACAGTTTGCAAATTGATGGGGATTTTCTCATCTGTGTAGAGAATTTTGTTACGGATTTTTTTTTCTTGCTGCATGGATAAAATCTTAGTGAATCATCTAAAATGAGGCAGCTTATCTCTGTTTATGTCATTTTCAGTTAGCATTCTGAAGTTGAGGTGGCAAATATATGTCCAGAGAGTGTCCTGAACAAGACCCCAGAAAGGGGTAAAAATATGTTAATTCATAAGTGATTGCAATTTAACCAAATGGTACTCTAACCTTCTAATTAGGCAAAGAGATAAAGTGAAGGTTGATAATTTAGCTAATTTTTTCTATTTAACTTTCTATTGAAGTATAACACATATCCAGATAAGTTTACAAATCATAAGTGTACATTCTAAAGAATTAACCAAGTGAATTTATTGTGGTTTCAGTGTAACTATCGTCCAAATTAAGAACTATTGGACTCTGTTATTATTTTGTTTAGGATTTTGTATCAATATTTATGACTGGCTTGTGATGTCTTTCCTTGTCAACATCAATATCAAGATTATATTCCCCTCACAAAAGAGGTTGAGAAATTTTGTCTCTTGTTTTATTCCCTTGAAGAGTTTACGTAAGATTGGAACTATTTCTTCCTAGTCAGAAGAGTTTATCAGTGAAGGCACATGAATTTTGAGTTTTCTTGTCAGAAGATTTTGGATGATGAATTTAATTACAGGACTGTTTATTTTGGTATTTCTTCTTGTAAGAGTTTTAATTAATTTTGTTTTACTCTGATTTTATGCACTTTATCTAATTTTTTAAATAGATTGATAGGAAGTGGTTCATCATATCCTCTTAATGTCTGCATGATTTCAAGTAATGTTTACATCTTATGTATTTTAGAAAAAAATTCCCAGATAACAAAATATCTGTCATAAATGAGTCTGGTGGTGATACTTGCTTCCAACTGTGTTTCTTTTCTTTTCTTTTTTTTTTTCTGTCTTTTAGCCTGCCGTGTAATTTTTCAAATGTGTTAAAAGCTGGAAGTGATGTGTAATAGGAACTAACATAAATAGACGTTAGTATAAAGATTTATGTAAATCTGATTAGGAGCTGGATTTTGTTAAACGTTTGCTAAAGCCAAAGATGCTAAAGGCTTCAAATTCCTCTAGGGTCCTTGACTTTGCCTTCCCCTTTGATCTGGGCTTCCCTAAGGGCTTCTCCAGAGACAGTCGGCATCTTGAAGCTCTTTCAGTTGTGATCCACTATTATTATACTGCGGCCCTGTATATGTGGTGATAAGGTGTGGAGGAGTGGAAATGTTCTATAGTCTTCTGATTTAAACCCTGTCTTTTAGTAGGCAGTGTTCCTTCACAAAAGTTTCTTAGCATTTTTCCCCTGTAGGTGAGAGAGGAAGGCCAGTGGGGGCTGAAGTGGGAAACATATCCATCTCCCACATAGGATAAGGCCTTTTCTCCTAAAGAGTAGGCCTCTCTTGGCTTCTGTGACAACTTGCACTCCAGGTTTTTATGCTCCCTCCATGACCACATCTTCTCAGTCTCCCTTTCTTCTCTATCTAAATTCTAGATATTATAGCTCTCTCTACAGTCTCTTCATAAGTGATCTCATATATTTCCATGAGTTTGAATACTATTTATACGCTGACAATACCCAATTTTTTCTTTTATTATTATTTTAAATTGATACATGATAATTGCACATTTATGGGGCACAGTGTGATATTTTAATACATATAGGCAATGTGTGATTATCAAATTGGGAATTAGCATATTCATCATGTTTAACATTTATCATTTCTTTCTGTTGGGAAGAGTCAAAATCTCCTCTAGCTTTTTGAAAATATACAAAAAATTATTGTTAATTATAGTCACTCTGTAGTGTCATAGAATGCTAGAACTTTTCTCTGCTATCTAACTTTTCTTTTGTATCCATTAACTAACCTTTGGCTATCCCCCCTCTCTAAAACCTTTTCAGCCTTTAGTAATCACTATTCTACTTTATAGTTTTATGAGATCAGCTATTTTAGCTTCCATATATGAGTGAGAACATGCAATATTTATCTTTCTGTTCCTGGCTTATTTCACTTAACATAATGTTATCCAAGTTTATCTATGTTGCTGCAAATGACAGAATTAATTTCTCTTTCAAAGATGAATAGCATTCCATTGTGTATATGTATGACATTTTCTTTATCCATTCATCTGTTGATGGGCACTTAGGTTGATTTTATATTTTGGCTTTATTTATTTATTTAAAATATTAAAATATAGAATAGAAACAGGGTCTCACTATATGGCCCAGAGTGGTTTTGAACTCCTGGGCTCAAGTGATTCTCTTGCCTCTGCCTCCCAAAGTGCTGACATTACAGGTATGAGTCACAGTGCCCAGCCTTGGTTATTGTAAGTAGTGCTCCAGTAAACACGAGAAGTGCAGAACATCCCTTTGACACACTGCTTTCCTTTCTTTGGATACATACCCAGCAGTGGAACTGTTGAATCACATGGCAGTTCTATTTTTAGTTTTTTGAGGACCCTCCACACTGTTTTCCACAATGGCTGGACTAGTTTACAGTTTCACCAACAGTAATGTAAGTGTACATCCTCGCCAGCATTTGTTATTTTTCCTATTTTTGATAATAACCATTTTAACTGGGGTAAGATGATATCTCATTGTGGTTTTGGTTTGCATTTCCTTGCTGATAAATGATTTTGAGCATTTTTTTTAATATACCAGTTGGGCATTTGTATATCTTCTTTTGAGAGATGTCTATTCAGCTCATTTGCCCATTTCTTTTTTTTTTTTTTTTTGAGACGGAGTCTCGCTTTGTTGCCCAGGATGGAGTGTAGTGGCATGATCTCTGCTCACTGCAAGCTCTGCCTCCTGGGTTCATGCCATCCTCCTGCCTCAGCCTCCTGAGTAGCTGGGACTACAGTTGCCTGCCACCATGCCCATCTTATTATTATTATTATTATTATTATTGTATTTTTAGTAGAGACAGGGTTTCGCTGTGTTAGCCAGGATGGTCTCCATCTCTTGACCTCGTGATTCACCTGCCTCGGCCTCCCAAAGTGCTGGGATTACAGGCATGAGCCACCACGCCCAGCCCCATTTCTTAATTGGATTGTTGTTTGTTTTGCTATTGAGTTGCTTGAGTTCCTTGTATATTCTGGATATTAATCCCTGGTAGGCTGAATAGTTTGCAAATATTTTCTTTCATTCTGTAGGTCGTCATTTCACTCTGTTGATTTTTTTTCCTTTGCGGTGCAGAAATCTTTTAGTTTGATCGAATCCTATTTGTCTATTTTTGCTTTTGTTGTCTGTGATTTTGAGGTCTTCTCTATAAAATCTTTGCCTAGACTAATGTCTTCAAGAATTCATCCTATGTTTTCTTCTAGTAGTTTTAGAGTTTCAGGTCTTAAATTTAAGTCTTTAATTCATTTTTAGTTGGCTTTTGTATATGCTAAGAGAGAGGGGTCTAGTTTCATTTTTCTACATAGGGATATCCAGTTTTCCCAGCACCATTTATTGAAGACACTGTCTTTTCCCTAGTGAATGTCCTTGCATCTTTGTCAAAAATCTGTTGGCTTTAAATATATGAATTTATTTCTGGGGGAATCTATTCTGTTCCATTAGTCAATGTGTCTGTTTATATGCTAGTACCTTGCTGTTTTGGTTACTCTAGCTTTGACTATATTTTGAAGTCAGCTTTGTTCTATTTCTCAAGATTGCCTTGGCTATTCAAAGTCTTTGTAGTTCAACTTAAACAGATAATTTCTAGTACTAAGAAATATAAAGCATGTTAATGTCAAATTTAATACATATCTGTGCTAACGGCTCAAATTATAATTGATAATTAACATATCTTCCCAAGTGCTTAGGTTTGTTTAAATATAATTTTAGTCACATGGTAAGACTAGATTAATGATTCATAATTCTATACTTAAGTTATCTTTAAAAAGATAGTTATTTCAGTTTTTGCTAACATAATCAGTAATCATTTCTATATTAGGTTTTCCTTTAAATACAATATAACAGAATCATTGTATTTGAAACATATTCATGGGATTCAGAGTAATATAAAAGTTAAAACCACAGGTTTTAAGGGTTCTAATTACAACTTTGCCACTAATTAGCCAGTTCTTGTATTAGTTACATATCTTCTCTAATTTTTGGTGTTCTTATCTATAAAATGGGGATAATAGTAATAGCTAACTTTTGTGAACTTTGGGATTAAATGAGATAAACTGTATAAAGCACTTAGAACAGTGTCCGTATTGCAAGCATTCAAGACCTGCTAACTCTTACTATTTTGTAATGAACTGCAATGACTTCTTTGTTTCTTCACCTTTTATTTTATTTTTTATATTATACTTTAAGTTCTGGGATACATGTGCAGAACGTGCAGGCTTGTTACATAGGTGTACATGTGCCATGGTGCTTTGCTGCACCCATCAACCCATCATCTATATTAGGTATTTCTCCTAATGCTATCCCTCCCTTTGCCCCCCGCCACCCAACAGGCACCCGTGTGTGATGTTCCCCTCCCTCTGCCCATATGTTCTCATTGTTCAACTCCCACTTATGAGTGAGAACATGCGGGGTTTGGTTTTCTGTTTCTGTGTTAGTTTGCTGAGAATGATGGCTTCCAGCTTCATCTATGTCCTTGCAAAGGACATGAACTCATTCTTTTTTTATGGCTGCATAGTATTCCATGTATATGTGCCACATTTTCTTTATCCAGTCTATCATTGATGGGCATTCAGGTTGGTTCCATGTCTTTGCTATTGTGAATAGTGCTGAAACAGTAAACATACGTGTGCATGTGTCTTTATAGTAGAATGATTTATCATCCTTTGGGTATACACCAGTAATAAGATTGCTGGGTCAAATGGTATATCTAGTTCTAGATCCTTGAGGAATCCCCACACTGGCTTCCACAATGGTTGAACTAATTTGCACTCCCACCAACAGTGTAAAAGCATTCCTATTTTTCCACATCCTCTCCAGCATCTGTTGTTTCCTGACTTTTTAATGATTGGCATCCTAACTGGTGTGAGATGGTGTCTCATTGTGGTTTTGATTTGCATTTCTCTAATGACCAGTGATGATGAGCTTTTTTTCATACATCTGTTGCCTGCATAAATATCTTCTTTTGAAAAGTGTCTGTTCATATCCTTCACCCACTTTTTGATGGGGCTTGTTTTTTTCTTGTAAGTTTGTTTAAGTTCCTTGTAGATTCTGGATATTAGCCCTTGATCAGATGGATAGGTTGTAAAAATTTTCTCCCATTCTGTATGTTGCCTGTTCACTCTGTTGATAGTTTCTTTTGCTGTGGAGAAGCTCTTTCGTTTAATTAGATCCCATTTATCTATTTTTGCTTTTGTTGCCATTGCTTTTGGTGTTTTAGTCATGAAGTCTTTGCCCATGCCTATGTCCTGAATGGTATGCCTAGGTTTTCTTCTAGAGTTTTTATGGTTTTAGTTCTTATGCTTAAATATTTAATTCATCTTGGGTTACTGTTTGTATAAGGTGTAAGGAAGGGGTCCAATTTCAGTTTTCTGCATATGACTAGCCAGTTTTCCCAACACCATTTATTAAATAGGGAATTTTTTCCCCATTGCTTGTTTGTGTTAGGTTTGTCAAAGATCAGATGGTTATACATCTGTGGTGTTATGTCTGAGGACTCTGTTCTGTTCCATTGGCCTACATATCTGTTTTGGTACCAGTACCATGCTGTTTTGGTTACTGTAGACTTGTAGTATAGTTTGAAGTCAGGGTAGTGTGATGCCTCCAGTTTTGTTCTTTTTGCTTAGGATTGTCTTGGCTATACAAGCTCTTTTTTGGTTTCATATGAAATTTAAAGTAGGTTTTTCTAATTCTGTGAAGAAAGTCAATGGTAGCTTGATAGGAATAGCATTGAATTTATAAATTACTTTGGGCAGTATGACCATTTTCACGATATTGATTCTTCCTGTCCATGAGCATGGAACGTTTTTCCTTTTGTTTGTGTCCTCTTATTTCCTTGAGCAGTAGTTTGTAGTTCTTTTTGAATAGGGCTTTCTCATCCCTTGTAAGTTCTATTCCTAGGTATTTTATTCTCTTTGTAGCGATTGTGAATGGGAGTTCACTCATGATTTGGCTGTTTGTCTATTATTGGTGTACAGGAATGCTTGTAATTTTCGCACATTGATTTTACATCCTGAGACTTTGCTGAAGTTGCTTATCAGCTTACAGAGTTTTGGGGCTTATTATCTCAATAGACGCAGAAAAGATCTTCAATAAAATTCCAACACTCCTTCATGCTAAAAACACTCAATAAACTTGGTATTGATGGAACGTATCTCAAAATAATAAGAGCTATTTATGACAAAGCCACAGTCAGTATCATACTGAATGGGCAAAAGCTGGAAGCATTCCCGTTGAAAACCAGCACAAGACAAGGATGCCCTCTCTATTCCTATTCAACGTAGTATTGGAAGTTCTGGCAAGGGCAATCAGGTAAGAGAAAGAAATAAAGCGTATTCAAATAGGAAGACAGGAAGTCAAATTATCTCTGTTTGCAGACGACATGATTGTATACTTAGAAAACCTCTTCACCTTTTATTTTAAGTTCTGGGGTACATGTGCAGGGTGTGCAGGTTTGTTACATAGGTAAACACATGCCATGGTGGTTTGCTGCACAGATCAACCCATCACCTGGGCATTAAACCCAGCATCCATTAGCAATTTTTCCTGATGCTTTCCCTCAGCCCACACACCCTGACAGGCCCCACTGTGTGTTGTTCCCCTCCCTGTGTCCATGTGTTCTAGTCATTCAGTTCCCACTTGTAAATGAGAACATGGGGTGTTTGGTTTTCTGTTCCTGTGTTAGTTTGCTGGGGATAATGGCTTCCAACTCCATCCACGTCCCGGCAAAGGACATGAATTCATTCCTTTTTATGGCTGCATAGTAGCCCATAGTGTATATGTACCATATTTTCTCTATGCAGTCTATCATTGATGGGCATTTTGGTTGATTCAATGTCTTTGCTATTGTGAATAGTGCTGCAATGAACATACGCATGCAAGCATCTTTATAATAGAATCATTTATTTTCCTTTTGGTATATACTCAGTAATTGGATTGCTGGCTCAAATGGTATTTCTGCCTCTAAGTCTTTGAGGAATGTCCACACTGTCTTCCACAATGGTTGAACTAGTTTACATTCCCGCCCACAGTGTAAAAGCATTCCTGTTTCTCCACAACCTCTCCAGCATCTGTTGTTTCTTGACTTCTTAATAGTCACCATTTGGACTGATGTAAGAGGATATCTCATTGTGGTTTTGATTTGCATTTCTCTAATGATTAGTAATGTTGAGCTTTTTTTTTTTCATATTTTTGTTGGCTGCATAAATGTCCTTTTGGAGAAGTGTCTGTTCATATCCTTTGCACGCTTTTTAATGGGGCTGTTTATTTTTTTCTTGTAAATTTGTTTAAGTTCCTTATAGATTCTGGATAATAGTCCTTTGTCAGATGGATAGATTGCAAAAATTTTCTCCTGTTCTGTAGGTTGCCTGTTCACTCTGTTGATAGAGTCTTCTGCTGTGCAGAAGCTGTTTAATGTAATTATGTCCCATTTGTCAATTTTTGCTTTTGTTGCAATTGCTTTTGATGTTTTTATCATGAAATATTTGCTAATGCCTATGTTCTGAATGGTATTGCCTAGATTTTCTTCTAGGGCTTTTATAGTTTTGGGTTTTACATTTAAGTCTTTAATGTATCTTGTGTTAATTTTTGTATAAGGTGTAAGGAAAGGGTCCAGTTTCAGTTTTCTGCATTTGGGTGGCCATGAACTGTAATGACTTCCAAGGAAGGAGACACAAAATACAGCTGCATTTAAAATGAGTAAGTTTAACTCATAATTTATTTTCCCTATTGTAAACCTAAAGGTACTGAAGATGGGGGAGCATTTATTCCAACTCTTTCATTAGCTATGAAGAAAGTGAGATGCAAGGAGTCAAAGTGACTTGTTCAAGGCCATGTAGCTGGTTATTTCACATCTTTGTTCTCAAAGTATAGAGCCTTCCCATTACACAACACTAACAGTTCAAACTGCCAACTTCAATTTAATCACTATAAAATGATGCAAGGATTTTTTTTTTTTTGGTTAATAAAACTGTATCTGTTTGAGTTTGTTTAAAGAGTGATGTTCATTAATTAAGGCATGCAGATGTTAAAGGAATAAACCGCAGCACCACACTGCCCTTTACTCTAGAGAATGGAGGGTGAAAAAAAAAGAGGTGTTGTTCTTTTGCTTTCTAGATATAAGGCTGTGAGTAACACTTCTTTTCAATTTTACCTAGCAGCACATTTGGGATGTAATGATTTCTAAGTTTGTTCTTAAAGAAGCTGCTTCTTTGGAAATGGGTTTTTGTCTAGGGGACTTTTTTTTATCAAGTTATAATTAGACTTCACTTAATACACCCATAAATTTGTAGCCTTTTGTTTATTGCACAGGTGTTCTGATATTCTCCTGTTCCAACAGGGCTAGTTTGAATAACCAAAAGAGCTTTTAGATATTGGCAGAAAGGCACCTTAAGTCCTTTAACTTGCAGGATGGGAAATTGTATAATTCCCTAGCTATCATAATATGTGGGAGAAATAGCTGTTGAGGCTTTCAATTTTGCTTCTGCTCTACTGGTGTAAACTAAAACGCAGAAGCTCAGAATTCAGGATCCTAAAGATGCACTTTTCTCAGAAGTGTTTATTATAACAAGTCATAAAGGAGAGAGGTTTAATGGCAGTAAGAAACTGGCAACATTGTAAAGGGATTTTACAATCCACAAACATACAACAAACCTCTGAAATATGTACTTCCTAAACATTGTATTTTTAAAGCTTACATAGACATCAAACTTAAAATGCAACGGATATAGCTATCTCAGGAAAAATCAACTCTCCATAGTTAAGAAAGAAACAACCCTGACGTGTATTTAGGGGACTCACTCAGCAGGGCAGCCACTGTGGTATTCCTCCGGGAAGCCCCCTTTGGTGTTTGCTGTCAACAAGGTGCATGTTAAGGCATCCACCTGGAGAGTGACAGGGATACACTCCAACAAGCAGAATTATCAGCCACTCACCCTGATGACAGCTCTTCTTTCTCCAGAGCTTAAAGACTTGGGGCAGACAAAGTCTCACTTTAACAATTTCAAGTTGGTTTAATACACAAGAACAAAAAAAGATGAGATTCAAAAATACCCTTGGCCACTTTAGAATGGCAAAGAGAATTACAAAATGTCATTGTTGAAACTGAATCACTAGGTGCAATATTCAGATTTATCCTCTGGAAAAGATTGGATGTTCCCTGCCAGGTGTTTAATCAAGAATACAAATCAAAATGGGCAGTAAAATGCTTACTTTCAAAGAGCTGTGTTAACTTTATAATCTACTCACACACCAGTTAGGCTCTATAGTGACTGACTGATGGCAGAGACAGAAAAGAGTTAATTCACTGCTGGCAAAAATCCCTTACTCAGGACCCACACACTATCTTATTAGAACAAGAGAACTACAAATAGACCTACATTTGTCTGTCTTTGGGGTCAATAAAAAAAATTTAAAATATATTAATACATGAGCTTTTGCAAGCTATTCTTGTTTGCTTTTCAAACTTTTTAAAAATTTAAATTCTAAAATTTATTTTTTTTAATTCTAGAAATAAATGTGAAGCCTGGTTTTTAGGAATACCTGTAACAATCTCTCCCTAGGAAAATAAAGACTCACATAGCCCTTCAGGAAACATGGATAACATTAAATAATTCATATGTTTTGAGACATGAGTTATATTTCTGATATTGGGTATTTATAACTCCCTTTTGAAGTTCATGTTCAGATTCAGATTTTACAATATCACCATTACAGCAAAATTGGGATTGTGACTTGATTATATAAGACCACTTATCCTTACCTTTGGACTTATATTTTGTTTTTCAGTTAAACAAAGGAAGGCGTGTGGAACACTCAACATTGTGGGAAAACATGTAGATTTTGGATACACTGGATAATCTTAATGCAATGTAGGTACACATGAAGTCAGAATTTGGTTGCAAGCTATAATTAATTTTCAGAAATACTTTCCCTCTCTCCCTCTCCTCTTCCTTCCTCTCCCTTTTTCTCTTTTCTCTCCTCCTTGCCATCCCCTCTGTTTGCTCTCCCTTTCTCTCTTTTTCCAAATTAATTTTTGTCTTAGAAATGCATAATGATAGACATCTGAGAAGCCAGTGGTAAAGTCACTAATAATATACATAAGCCAAGAGATTATTGGAATTACCCAGTTAAATTATTTTGACTGGGCAATTCTACAATAACTGGGAGTCTTTCTAAAAATACTCTGTTGCCAGACTAATGTTTTTCTTTAAGAAATTGTTTTTTGCCTGAGTTGACAAAATCAATGAAGCTCTCTACTTTGGAATTTTCCAATTACATGATGATGCCTCTAAAAGTTTCAGTCTATTCAAGTTTAGTTGATCTTATCAAAATATATGAGAAATAACTTAGTGTCTATATTTGTACATACCCAATTTTATGAGTGAAGATTCATATTAAATGATTTTGTGGCTCTTTGTCAAATGTTGAATACTTTTCAATGTACTTAAAATGTTGAAAAGCCATCATTTGGTAAAAGGAGAAATAATAAAGCAAGGGTCAAGTCATTTGACTCATTGGGAAAATCAAAACAAACCGAGTGATATATACATAATGCAATTTGAAGCATTTTTTATTTTTATTAAATTACAGCACAGAGAAGGGAGTAAAAGTGGTTTCTGCTTGGTTTAGGCTGAAATGACCTTATTTTGTTCTTACTGTTTGAGAATGCCCACCATAAATGAATACATTTCCATAAAATGCCCGTAAAACATACATGCATGTTTAATCCTTGACTTTTTACGATGAGATTGCTGTATTAGCTGAAGTTTTAGTCACTCTTCTGCATCCATAGTCTTAAACATTGTATTTTCACAATGTTTAATCTTTTCCACATCTCTGTTAGTATGAGCTTAGAGAATTTAAGTAAACTTAATTGTATTGGGGTCTGTGGATAGTTTTAAAAACTAAAAATAAGCAGGTTTTAAATATGCCACTTTGGGGATTGGCAAGATGGCCAAATAGGAACAGCTCTGGTCTGCAGCTCCCAGCAAGACCAACGGAGAAGGCGGGTGATATTTCTGCACTTCCAACTGAGGTACCCAGTTCATCTCATTGGGACTGGTTAGACAGTGGGTGCAGTCCACGGAGGGCAAGCAGAAGCAGGGTGGGGTGCCCCTCACCCAGGAAGTGCAAGGGGCTGGGAACTCCATCCCCTAGCCACAGGAAGCTGTGAGGGGCTGTGTCACGAGGGATGGTGCTATCTGGCCCAGATACTATGCTTTTCCCATGGTCTTCACAACCCTCAGACCAGGAGATTCTCTCAGGTGCCTACATCACCAGGGCCCTGGGTTCCAAGCACAAAACTGGGCAGCTGTTTGGGCAGACACTGATCTAGATGCAGGAGTTAGTTTTCATACCCCAGTGGCACCTGGAACCCCAGCGAGACAGAACTGTTCACTCCTCTGGAAAGGGGGCTGAAGCCAGGCAGCCAAGTGGTCTTGCTCAGCGGATCCCACCTCCATGGAGCCCAGCAAGCTAAGATCCACTGGCTTGAAATTCTTGCTGCCAGCACAGCAGTCTGAAGTCAACCTGGGATGCTTGAGCTTCGTCGGAGGAGGAGGGTTGTTCACCATTACTGAAGCTTGAGTAGGCGGTTTTCCCCTCACAGTGTAAACAAAGCCATTGGGAAGTTCAGACTAGGCGGAGCCCACCACAGCACCACAAAGCCACTGTAGCCAGACTGCCTCTCTAGATTCCTCCTCTCTGGGCAGGGCATCTTTGAAAGAAAGGCAGCAGCCCCAGTCAGAGGCTTACAGATAAAACTCCCATCTCCCTGGGACAGAGCACCTGGGGAGAGGGGTGGCTGTGGGCCCAGCTTCAGCATACTTAAAGGTTCCTGCCTGCTGGCTCTGAAGAGAGCAGCAGATCTCCCAGCACAGTGCTCAAGCTTTGCTAAGGGACAGACTACCTCCTCAAATGGGTCCCTGAACCTCGTGGGTCCTGACTGGGAGATACCTCCCAGCAGTGGTTGAAAGACACCTCATACAGGAGAGCACTGGCTGGCATCTGTCTGGTGCCCCTCTGGGATGAAGCATCTGGAAGAAGCTTTACTATTCTGCAGACTCCACTGGTGATACCCATGCAAACAGTGTCAGGAGTGGACCTCCAGCAAACCGCAGCAGACCTGCAGAAGAGGGGCCTGACTGTTAGAAGGAAAACTAACAAACAGAAAGCAAGAACATCAACATCAACAAAAAGGACACCCACATAAAAACCCCATCCAAAGGTCAATAGCATCAAAGATCAAAGGTAGATAAACCCACAAAGATGAGGAAAAACCAGTGCAAAAATGCTGAAAATTCCAAAAACCAGAATGCCTCTTCTCCTCCAAAGGATCAAGACACCTTGTCAGCAAGGGAACAAAACTGGATGGAGAATGAGTTACACAAATGGACAGGAGTAGGCTTTAGAGGGTGGGTAATAACAAACTCGTCTGAGCTAAAGGAGCATGTTCTAACCAATGCAAGGAAGCTAAGAACCTTGATAAATGGTTAGAGGAATTGCTAACTAGAATAACTAGTTTAGAGAAGAACATAAATGATCTGATGGAGCTGAAAAACACAGCACAAGAACTTCATGAAGCATACACAAGTATCCATAGCTGAATTGATCAAGTGGAAGAAAGGATATCAGAGATTGAAGATTAACTTAATGAAATAAAGCATGAAAACAAGATTAGAGAAAAAAGAATGAAAAGGAACAAACAGAGCCTCCAAGAAATATGAGACAATGGGAAAAGACCAAACCTATGATTGATTGGTGTATCTGAAAGTGACAGAAAGAATGGAACCAAGTTGGAAAACACACTTCAGGATATTATCCAGGAGAACTTCCCCAATCTAGCAAGACAGGCCAACATTCAAATTCAGGAAATACAGAGAACACCAATAAGATAGTCATTGAGAAGAGCAACACCAAGACATATAATCATCAGATTCACCAAGATTGAAATGAAGGAAAAAAAATGTTAAGGGCAGTCAGAGAGAAAGATTGGGTTACCCACAAAGGGAAGCCCATCAGACTAACAGTGGATGTCTCTGCAGAAACCCTACAAGCCAGAAGAAAGCGGGTGCCAATATTCAACATTCTTAAATGAATTTTCAACCCAGAATTTCATATCCAGTCAAACTAAGCTTCATAAGCGAAGGAGAAATAAATTCCTTTACAGACAAGCAAATGTTGAGGGATTTTGTGACCACCAGGTCAGCCTTACAAGAGCTCCTAAAGGAAGCACTAAATATGAAAAAGAAAAACCGGTACCAGCCACTGCAAGAACATACGAAAATATAAAGAACAAGAGCATTATGAAGAAACTGACCAAACAATGTGCAAAATAACCAGCTATCATCATAATGACAAGATCAAATTCACACATAACAATATTAACCTTACATGTAAATGGGCTAAATGCCCCAATTAAAAGACACAGACTGGCAAATTGGATAAAGAGTCAAGACCCCTTGGTGTGTTGTATTCAGGAGACCCATCTCACATGCAAAGACACACATAGGCTCAAAATAAAGGGATGGAGGAATATTTACCAAGCAAATGGAAAGCAAAAAGAAGCAGGGGTTGCAATCCTAGTCTCTGATAAAACAGACTTTAAACCAACAAAGATCAAGAGAGACAAAGAAGGGCATTACATAATGTAAGGGGATTCATGCAACAAGAAGAGCTAACTATTCTAAATATATACGCACCCAATACAGGATCATCCAGATTCATAAAGCAAGTTCTTAGAGACCTACAAAGAGACTTAGATTCGCACACAATAATAGTGGGAGACTGTAACACCCCACTGGCAATATTGGACAAGTCAATAGAGAGAAAATTAACAAGAATATTCAGGATGTGAACTCAGCTCTGGACCAAGTGGACCTAATAGACATCTACAGAACTCTCCACCCCAAATCAATAGAATATACATTCTTCTCAGCACCACATCACACTTATTCTAAAATTGACACATAATTGGAAGTAAAGCACCCCTCAGCAACTGCAGAAGAATGGAAATCATAACAAACAGTCTCTCAGACCACAGTGCATTTAAATTAGAACTCAGGATTAAGAAACTCACTCAGAACTGCACAATTACATGGAAAATGAACAACCTGCTCCTGAATGACTACTGGGTAAATAAAGAAATTAAGGCAGAAATAAATAAGTTATTTGAAACTAATGAGAACAAAGACACAACATATCAGAACTTTGGGACACAGCCAAAGCAGTGTTTAGAGGGAAATTTATAGCATTAAGTGCCCACATCAGAAAGTGGGAAGGCTCTAAAACTGACACCCAACATCACAATTTAAAGAACTAGAGAAGCAACAGCAAACAAATTCAAAAGCTAGCAGAAGACAAGAAATAACTAAGATCAGAGCAGAACTGAAGGAGATAGAGACACAAAAAACCCTTAAAAAATCAATGAATTGGCCGGGCGCAGTGGCTCATGCCTGTAATCCCAGCACTTTGGGAGGCCGAGGCGGGCAGATCACGAGGTCAGGAGATCGAGACCATCCCGGCTAAAACGGTGAAACCCCGTCTCTACTAAAAATACAAAAAATTAGCCAGGCGTAGTGGCGGGCACCTGTAGTCCCAGCTACTTGGGAGGCTGAGGCAGGAGAATGGCGTGAACCCGGGAGGCGGAGCTTGCAGTGAGCCGAGATCCCGCCACTGCACTCCAGCCTGGGCGACAGAGCGAGACTCTGTCTCAAAAAAAAAAAAAAAAAAAAAAAAAAATCAATGAATTGAGGAGCTGGTTTTTTGAAAATATTAACAAAATAGAACCCTAGCCAGACTAATAAGAAAAGGGAGAAGAATCAAATATACACAATAAAAAATGAGAAAGGGGAGATCACCACTGATCCCACAGAAATATAAACTACCATCAGGTAATACTATGAACACCTCTATGCAAATAAACTAGAAAATCTTTAAGAAATTGATAAATTCCTGGACACACACAGACACTCCCAAGTCTAAACCAGGAAGAAATCAAATCCCTGAATAGACCAATAACAAGTTCTGAAATTGAGACCATAATTAATAGCCTACCAACCAAAAAAAGCCCAGGACCAGATGAATTCACAGCTGAATTCTACCAGAGGTACAAAGAGGAGTTGGTACCATTCCTTCTGAAACTATTCTAAACAATAGAAGAAGAGGGTCTCCTCCCTAACACATTTTATGAGGCTAGCATCATCCTGATACCAAAACCTGGCAGAGACACAACAAAAAAAGAAAATTTCAGGCCAGTATCCCTGATGAACATCAATCCAAAAATCCTTAATAAAATACTAGCTAACTGAATCCAGTAGCACATCAAAAAGCTTATCTACCACGATCAAGTCGACTTCATCCCTGGGATGCAAGGGTGGTTCTACATATGCAAATCAATAAATGTAATCCATCACATAAACAGAACCAATAACAAAAAACCACATGATTATCCCTACAGATGCAGAAAAGGCCTTTGATAAAATTCAACACCCCTTCATGCTAAAAACACTCAATAAACTAGGTATTGATGGAACATATCTCAAAATAATAAGAGCTATTTATGACAAACCCATATTCAATGTATACTGAATGGGCAAAAGCTGGAAGCATTCCCTTTGAAAACTGGCATAAGACAAGGATGCCCTCTCTCACCACTCCTATTCAACATAGTATTGGAAGCTCTGGCCAGGGCAATAAGGCAAGAGAAAGAAATAATGGGTGTTCAAATAAGAAGAGAGGAAGTCAAATTGTCTCTGTTTGCAGATGACATGATTGTATATTTAGAAAACCCCATCGTCTCAGTCCAAAATCTCCTTAGGCTGATAAGCAACTTCAGCAAAGTCTCAGAACACAAAATCAATATGCAAAAATCACAAGAATTCCTATACGTCAATAATAGACACACATAGAGCCAAATCATGAGTGAATTGCCATTCACAATTGCTACAAAGAGAATGAAATACCTAGGAATATAACTGACAAAGGATGAGAAAGACCACTTCAAGGAGAACTACAAACCACTCTTCAAGGAAATAAGAGAGGACACAGACAAATGGAAAAACATTCCATGCTCATAGATAGGAAGAATCAATGTCGTGCAAATGGCCATACTGCCCAAAGTAATTTATAAATTCAATGCTATTCCTATCAAGCTACCATTGACTTTCTTCACAGAATTAGAAAAACCTACTTTAAATTTCATATGGAACCAAAAAAGAGCTCATATACCCAAGACAATCCTAAGCAAAAAGAACAAAGCTGGAGGCATCACACTACCTGACTTCAAACTATACTACAAGTTTACAGTAACCAAAACAGCATGGTACTGGTACCAAAACAGATATGTAGGCCAATGGAACAGAACAGAGGCCTCAGATATTACACCACAGATGTATAACCATCTGATCTTTGACAAACCTGACAAAAACAAGCAATGGGGAAAGGATTCCTTATTTAGTAAATGGTGCTGGGAAAACTGGCTAGTCATATGCAGAAAACTGAAACTGAAACAACAGTTGCTGGAGAGGATTTAGAGAAATAGGAATGCTTTTACACTGTTGGTGGGAGTGTAAATTAGTTTAACCTTGTGGAAGACAGTGTGGTGATTCCTCAAGGATCTAGAACTAGAAATACCACTTGACCCAGCAATCCTATTACTGGGTATATACCCAAAGGATTATAAATCATTCTACTATAAAGACACATGCATACCTATGTTCATTGCAGCACTATTCACAATAGCAAAGACTTGGAACCAAACCAAATGCCCATCAATGTTAGACTGGATAAAGAAAACGTGGCACATATATACCATGGAATACTATGTAGCCATAAAAAAGAATGAGTTCATGTCCTTTGTAGGGACATGGATGAAGCTGGAAACCATCATTCTCAGCAAACTAACACAGGAACAGAAAACCAAACTCCACATGTTCTCACTTATAATTGGGAGTTAACAATGAGAACACATGGACACAGGGAGGGGAACATTACACACCGAGGCCTATCAGGGGGTGGGTGGCAAGGGGAGGCATAGGATTAGCACAAATACCTAATGCAAGTGGGGCTTAAAACCTAGATGACAGGTTAATGGGTGCAGCAAACCACCATGGCACATGTATACCTATGTAACAAACCTGCATGTTCTGCACATGTATCCCAGAACTTAAAGTATAATAATAATTACAATAAAAAAGCCACTTCATTGTTTCCTCCATCAATCACAGCTAGTTGAAATTATATAATAAATTATGTATATAATATATGCTAAATCCCAAGCAGTTTAAGCATAATTTAACCATAATTTGAAATCAGTTACTTGAAATCAGTCCCATGAAATCAATAGAAGGAATAAAAATCTCAAATTATGTTTGGAAGATAATTGTCTAGATTAGTGGTCTCCAAGCTTGTTTAATCTTGCTTCACAGACATTATTTACTTAAAATTCTATACATCTTCTCATATAATGTAGACCTCATGAAACCCACAAAAAATAGAAATTAAAGGATCGAGATAAAAAGAGAATTAATATTTTCTTCCAATATCACAATGGAGTCTGTATACTCCACTCTGGGAACCATTAGACTGGTATACTCTTTGAAAGCCTTGTCATGTGAGAAAGAAGAATTCCTTGGTTTAATGCTGTTATTGCAGGAATTCTTAGAGTTTTTACTGTGCTACCGCACATGGTGAATTCCTGAAAGGGCAATAGAGTACTGTGTAGTGATCTAAAGAAAGACAAGTCAGAGATTCCAGATCTGGGTCTGCCACTCATGAACAATATCACTTTAGACTGGTTATTTAAACTCACTGAACTTCAGTTTTTCCATCTGTACAATGGCAATAATGATGTATCTCCTTGGGTTATTACACAGATTATATAAGAAGATGAATGTAAAGCACTTAGTCCAATGCCTAGCTTATGGGTATCTTATCGCACTAGTGTACTGTGAAAAATACTTCTGGAAATATTTCAGATTAGACTATTCACTCACTGATTATATTATTAAGATACTTTTTAAAATTTCACAAATACTTATGATTATCTCCTAAGTATAGGTGTAGTAGTAGGCTCAGGGCAACAGCATACATAGCTGAATATTCTGAAGGACTTTTAAATTATTTTTAACTCAGAAAAAAATTTCAGAACCTACCATGTGTCAGACACCATGTACTGCTCTGCAGATATGATGATGGCCGAGGCAGATAGGGTGTCTACCTTCATGAAACTTAGAGTATGAGGAAAGGACTGGTATGATTTATGGCCAGTGTTTACAAGGTAAATGCAAAATAGTTTAAAGAGTGTTCTGATAAAGGGTGAAGAAGATGGGGGCTATTGGGTTAGCTGAGGTCTGCCCATGCAAAACTTGCACATCATTTTAAACAGTTCTTACTTTATCCTAAGGAAAATAGGCCACTTTCAAGGTCAAAGGGATGAAGGGACAAAATATTAGAAAACACACAATATAAGCATGTCACTGAATATAAACAAAAGCTTGAACAAAATAACTTCACAGTTTTTCCTGTGGCAAAAATTTACTCAGACTCTAATTAATTTTTTGTTTCAGTGAAGTTTTTTTTTTTTTTTTTTATGTATCACAAATGTGTTTGTGCCTTCCGTTGCTTGCTAACTGGCAGGTGCATCACATTAACATAGCTCTTAAACCAACCAAGCAGAGCCTGATAGGTGTGGTGGGATCTGACAGTATTCATTTGATATGAAGCAATGACTCTTTGCTAAAGGGCCTGGACTGACAGACCTGCAAGGTAAAAGTCTCTGGTGAGCTTGAGAATAAACTACAGAGGTTTACTTTCCACACATGGTCTGCAAGACCAATTTGCCATAAGTATATTCAGGAGAGACCACTCTGCCTTCTGTGAATATATAGTCTCTCTATTTTAGACCTTTTTAAAAAGCAGGAAATGCTTCTGTCGGAAGGGAGAATTCTGTGAGGTTGCTAAATAATGACAAAGTGCTGGAATAAACAGAAAGGAGAACATTTGGCCTTGAGAGTTTAGTGTTCTACTGACAGTCAGTGTTCTGACAGAGGCAAACAGTCAGAGTTTGATAGTGAATAGTCTGTTCTCTGTGTAAAAGTGGACAATAACAGATGTGTAGCTCCCTAGGAATTGAGATGTAAAAATCTGCAAACTAATTTGGTTTCCATTTAGTGTAAGTAGAAACTGCCTCATGGAAATAGTTTTAAGATGAGAGGTAATGGTTCAAAAGAAATATATAAAATATCTTTTCTTATTATTTTGCTAACTTAGAAAAATATGGTTGTATATTTTTCTGCTTCCCATGATATTTCTTTGGATTAAAAAATTTTAACACAGTTTCACTGGATTGCAAAAATGTATTTTATAAACTTATAATTTATCAAATCTATTAGACTGAAATAAGATAAATATAATACAAGAAATCCTGGTTTTGTTTGAGAAGGAGTCTAAGAGTTTATGAACAAAATCAGATACACTTAATAAAACATATTGAAATATGTAGTTCAGGGAAATCTTGACACTTATATCACGATTAGATTTAGCTCCATATAACAGACAACTTATTAAAAAGCAGAGGTTTAAGCAAAATAAATTATTTCTGTCATTAACAGAAAGTTTCTTACTGAACATTTCCAGGCTAGTATGGTGGTTTTATAGTTAAGGATTTAAACTTCTTTCATCATTTTGCTTCACCATCTTAGCATGTATCTTTAATTCTCAAGGTGACTTCGTAGTCCGAGATGACTTCTGGAATTCAAGACATCTCATGGACATTCTAGACTTCAGAAAGAAGGAAGATTTGGAGGTCATGCTACTCTTCAAGAGATTTTCCAGAGGTCAATATAATACTCTAACACTTCTGCTTACATCTGATTTTCCAGAATTTAGTCCCATGGCCACATTTTAAGCTCTAAGGGAGGATAGGAAACTTAGCTGGGTACATTAGTGACCCACGTACAATCAAGAGTGCACTAATACAGTATTTGTATCTGTATGAGATGAGTATCTCTGGGCCAGTGTCCAGAGGATTCCCTGAAGTGCCCGGCTTACTCTTCAAAGCCATAAGTACTATTTCTCTGACATGCACGCAATTGCTAGCTCTGTCAAGTGGTAGAACTTTAAGTGTATGTTTCCTAGGGTGCTCCATGACCACCGTGTGATGGGGTCCACGTGTGCTCAGTGTGCATTTTCTGGAGCTGGAGACTTGAACTGGATGCTACTCAAGCACTACTTGTTTGCCAATAAGTTTGATGTGGATGTTGACCTTTTTGCCATCCAATGCTTTGATGAGCATCTGAGACATAAAACTTTGAAGACATTACAACACTGACAATTACAGGCAATTTTATGAATAATAAGGAGGATACACAAAAAATATCCTTATCTGGTTCCTCTTCCTTGTCAGCAAGCATCGGGAAAATGGTATGAAGTCCTCTTTGGGGTGGGGACTCTTAGTTTTCTTGTCAGAGAAGCTGCATGTTTTCTGCAGAACACCATTGGCTAGATATGTGATAGCATTAAATGTTCACCTAAATTTAACGTGAGGGGGAGTAAAAGTAGCCTTGAGGCCAGAGCAGGTAGCATTCTGGAAAGAGGGGACCAGGGTGCCTGGGGAAGAGGCCGATGCATAAGGTCAGCCTGTTCAAAGAGCTCAGGGACTTAGCAAAACGAGAAGATTTCACCTGTGCCAAAACTATTAAGAATTTTAAATGTGACAATTTTCCTGGTATCAATAAATTTATAGCAACAAACAACCATAAAGATACAATTGATCTGATATGTTGTATTGAAATAGAAATTTGATTTTACTGTAAATTATTTGGCTAGGCTGGTCTTGAACTCCTGACCTCAGGTGATCCACCCACCGCGGCTTCCCAAAGTACTAGGATTACAGGCGTGAGCCACCATGCCTGGCCCATCAAAGCTATTTTTTAAGAACTGAAATGTGTACACTGAAATACACATTTATAAGTGCTGCTTTTAAATATGTGCCAACCTAACTTTTTCTCTCTACAGATGCTGAAGTAGAGGGAAAAAGTGAAAGGCAGGAGGTGCTCACTTTTTCCCTGAGCAAGAGGAAAGGCAACTTCCCTCAGTTCTTATGGAATAAAAAGTGCAGGCCATTCAAAGTCTGCCTTCAACAGAGAGAAAGAGGAATCACTTTCTTGAGCACTTTTTTTCTCATTCCTGTCTCCTTGCTCCTGTCTGGGATTAGGCTTGACCTTTTAGTATTTCTTTGTAACAAGGAACTGGAAAATAAAGATTAAAACATGGTGGGAAATGAGGGATACTAAGATGTGTTGAACGGTGGGGCAATCAAACAGCTGTTGAGTTGGAGAGAGAAAGCTGGATCATATCAGAGTGGATGCTATCAAAAGAGTTATGAGCTTAACATGACAGAAAATTGCATGTTCTTGAAATATGCCATTACAAAATGTCAGCCTGACATTAAGCTGCTTTATAGAGGTATCATGTCCCTAAATAGCCTGGTGATTATTCGTGTCCCTGGAGCTCTACTTTCCTCCCTGATTTTGTAATACCTTGGCTTGTCTTTAATCACTGCAGAGTGTCACCATCTTAGAAAAATTCTTAAAAGAAAATTAATTTTGATTTCCATTGATGTCCTAGAGAGTTTTTTTTTTTTTTTTTTTTTTTTTTTTTTTTTTTTAATAGCTGGGATGGAGATGCAGCCTTCTGTCCCACAATGACAGGAGGTAGCAGTTTCCTGTAAGGGTAAGGATCCTACTTTGACCACCCTTAAAAAACAAAAGCATTTTCTATATGCCCATTATGTGTTAAGCACTTTACATGCATTATCTCATTTAATTCTCATAAAACCTATAAGGTAAGTTCTATTATTAGACTCATTGAAATTGAAGTACAGAGAGACCAAGTGACTTGCCCAAGTCACTCAGCTGGCTAGTCAGTACTAAAATGGAAATTTTAACCCAGGCAGATTGATTCTGGAGCCTATTCTTAGGTAGTTACACTGCTTTCCTCAAGGACCATGTTCCATTGAGAGGCTTAAGTTGGGAAGATAAGGTAAATTATTATGAAATATTTATAGAAAGGACAAAAGAGAGCAAGAGATAACGCATTCCACCTTTGTCTTTAGAATGGTGTGATTAAGAAAACAAAAAAACCTGGGCTGGGCTTTATACATTAAGAGAACATTCTAATAAATGCTACTGCCACCAGAAAAAAAAAAAAAAAAGAAGAGATTATTCTTGCATAAGGAGAGGCAACAGGAAGTGTGAATGAGGAGCACAAATGTGGAAAGTAAAGCTGTTTAAAAAGGAAAGCAGCTGCAAACTTCCCATCTGCAGTGTTTGTTTGTCTCGGCTCCGGCCATCACTGCCACGATTACCCCTGGATGAATTCCTCAGTGGAAATATCAACAAGGTAGGAAATGTGATAATTATATTTTCTATTGTCCCCCAAAGAACATATTAAGATGGTAGATATGGACATAATTTGGAAGAAAAGTGCTATGTAGTAGACACAATTGCTGATGAAATAAAACTAGCTGATTTTTCATCCTCTGGTATTAGCAAAAAGGCAAAGTCCCAGATGTTATTCTGTGCCTCTTCTACAGTGTAGTTGTAATTGAACAACAGCTAGGCTTATTGGATTGCTTTTTGCCTTTCTTTATAAAATAAATATATATTAAGTATATTCTAGACAATCTTCTAGAGGTCATAGTAGTAACAGTGAATGATCCAATAGATGGCTTGGGATATCACCTCATACTAGTTGGTGGGGTATAGAAAGTATTGATGCCTGTTGATGTAAAAAAGGTTTCTGGAGGGAGCTAACACTCGAGGGGGATTTTTTTGTGACTCAAAAATATTGAATATTGATATGTGATGGAATATTGATATGTTAAGCTCTCTTTCTATAACCTCCAGCTTTTCTGATGCTGTCACCTAAGATGCCTGCTAAAGCTTGTACTCTCAGCAGTCTTGCATGGCAATCTAGAAGTGTGGGAATATTAATGTCTTGTAGGGAAACCTTCAATCAAAAAGAACCATGAGACAATGGTCAAACATTTCTCTCTTTTGCCCCTTGGGCAGCCAATTGTGAGACTTTTTGTATAGCTCCTCATAAGATCTGAGTGAAATCACGCACAAGTTGCCCACAGTGATGTTCAATGCCCTGTGCGCCTTTGCACTGACTTTCTCTCCTACCCCATTTTATTCTCACTAGATCTTCTCTCCTATTTCCTGGAATCATTTCCTAAGTAAACGACCTGAATGCAATTCTTATCCAGGTTCTATTTTTATGGAGGTCCCAGACTAAGACAATGCCACATCATAATAGGAGCAACATCTATGGGCTGAGAGATGAGAGGAGTGTTTGTCAGGGTATGGTACTGGCATTTAATATGGCTTTCTCTCCTCTACCAGATATCTAAATATTGGCATTGTGGAAGGTTTCTCTAGGATTTATCTGCTCTTTTAAAATCTTCTTTTCTTTATCTACACTTTCTCTTCTTTATATTTCTCTTCTATATTTTCTCCTTAGACAATCTACAATTCTGTGGTTTTAAACACCACCTTTATTTTAATGATTCCCCTGGATTATACCTTTAGTCCTTATCTTGCTTCAGAGCACCAGCATCATATATCCAATTGTCTACATATCATCTCCCTTTGGATGTCTAACTGGCATCTTTTTCTTCATTTGTACAAAATAAAACTCTTGTTTACCTCCCAATATAATAAACGGTTTCCTACAAAAGAAGCTGTTATGCCTCTATTCTTTTTCATGGCACCACCATCTACACTATAGTTCAGACAAAGAAAACCTGATGTTGTTCTTGGTTCTAACCTTTTCACACTCTTCCCAGCAAGTTCTGAATATTATATCTCCAGAAGAGATTTAAAATTTGTCCACTTATCTACATCCCCACTGCCATTGCCCTTGTCCTAGGCATAATTATCTTTTGTCAGGACCACTCCAATAGTCTTATAAAATCTGTTAGAGATAATACCATCAGAATAGTTTAAACAGATACACAAAAGTCACTAGCCCTTTTCAAGCCTTTCAACGGTTTCCTAAGGCATCTGGAAATAAAAGTTAAAAATCTTTCCATGTTCCCAAGGCCCTATATGATCTAGGCCCTGCTAACATTAGATTTTTTCTTCTTGTACACTATTGCTATAGACTGAGTGTTTATGTGCCCCCTAGAATCACATGTTAAAACCTAACTGCCAATGTGATGGTATTTGGAAATGGGGTCTTTGAGAGGTGATCAGATCATGGGGCAAAGGTTTCATAAATGGGATTAGTGCCCTTATAAAAGAAACTCCAGGGAGCTAGTTAGTCCCTTCCATGTGAGGACACAGTGAGACTGCTGTCTATGAGCCAGGAAGTAGTCCTCACCAGAACCAAGTTCACTGGTGCTTTGATCTTGAACTTTCCAGCCTCCGGATCAGTGAGAAATACATTTCTGTTGTTTATAAGTCACCCAGTCTATGGTATTCCATTACAGCAGCTGGAGTGAATGAAGACATTTATGCACCAGCTACAGCAGTATCTTTTCATTCTCCAAAAAGCCCAGCTTCTATCTTTCCTCAGGGTCTTCCATTTCCAAACCTTCTACCTGGATAGTTCCTTTTCCTGCTTTTCATGGGCCATACTCCTTATTCTTTAGGCCTCAGTACAAATATCTCCTCCTCTGAGAGTGATTCTTGTCTTGGTGACCTGTTAAAATGCCCTCCATCCCAGTTACTGTCTATCACTACTTGTTTATTTCCTTCATAATTCTTCTCAGAAATTTTGTATTGTGTTTTGAGCCATTTTTATTTTCTTTTTATCTTTTCAATTAGAAGGTAAGCTCTGTAAGGTCAGAAGTCTTATCTTTCTTGACAAGTTTTACATTGCTAAACTAGATCTGGCAACTTTGTGGAATATAAATGAATAGGATAATTATTTTGAGAAATTCTTCCGGATGGGTGCATGTAGGAATCTTTTTTTAAAAAAAAAAATTTACACTGAGGCAAAGAATCTAATAATGTCAATTTTTCCTGTCTCAATAATCTATACATCCTTGCATCTTTGAAACCCTAATGAGACCAGGAGAGGGAAGTAAACAATCATTTTTTGTGTATGTGTGAATACACAAAGACATTCTTCTAAATCTTTACTTCTTATTTTATATGGTCAGTATTATTTTCAAGTAGGAAGCAAAACCGATGATTCATCTCTTAGTAATCAAATTTATTATAACCAATTATATTTTTTCAATAGCTTTTATCTAAATAGAATGATTACATCTGAAAAGCATGAGATTTTTATGGGAAAGGACACAACTTCAATTCTATTCAGTCTATAATGTTTTCTCTTTTTATAAAAATGACTTGGCTAACTTCTTGTAATATAACCCTGCCACACACAGAATGAAATTCTTAGTACTTCTTAACTCTTCCCCTCTTAAGTCATTCTGTCTTTCAGATACACACAAATTCATTGTCTCAATTCCTTTCAAAGACCCATGTATCCGAAACTTCAATACCTTTTATTTACAAATGCTTCTTTTACTCTCGTTTCAGTTTTCATACCTGCCACATCAGGATGTGGTGCCCAGCTTTTTCATGTCATCACAGGCTGGATGTATTTGCTTCATTTTGTGATTCTGGGGCAGAGGGCCCTGAGTTCACTTTGGTAGCCTTATTCTAAAATTTGGTGCCAAATATCACAAGTGTCAAAGGAATAAATGTTTTTTATTTTTATGGTGAAAATAATGATAAAGCAAGTCCAGTCCTGTGTTGATTAACTATTAATACCAATTTTTATTATTTCTGAAAATATCTACACACATTTATGTATATCACAGCTAACATTAAATTCTTAGGCAATTTTTTTCTTAAAATCTTATATTAGAGCATCTTGCAGCTTTTTGTAATTTAGGATTTCTCATACTGAATTTTCCTAAAGAGAGACGCATGTCTATTGTTTATGATTTAGTTTCTTGATATGTAATAACTGTATCATGGGTTTTGTAAAGCAACTGGGCTGTAATGCATAGATTTGTTAATATTGTACTCTCGGTTTGCCAAAATGACATGAAATAATTTGATTTTATATATTGCTCTTGATGCCCCTTGTTACTCTCTTATACCTAGCTAGACTTTGAGATTTTACAATACATAGATTTTCTGTACTCTAACCTCAGGGAAAACTCATTACCACTTTTTCTTTTCTTTTCTTTTCTTTTCTTTTCTTTTTTCTTTTTTTTTTTTTTTTTTGAGATGGAGTCTCTCTCTGCTGCCCAGGCTGGAGTGCAGTGGTGCAATTTCGGCTCACTGCAACCTCACCCTCCTGGGTTCAAGCGATTCTCGAGCCTCAGCCTCCTGAGTAGCTGGGATTATAGGCGCATGCCACCATGCCCGGCTAATTTTTGTATTTTTAGTAGAGACGGGGTTTCACCATGTTGGTCAGGTGGGTCTCGAATTTCTGACCTCGTGATCCACCCGCCTCAGCGTCCCAAAGTGCTGGGATTACAGGCGTGAGCCACTGTACCTAGCCACCACTTTTGTTAATTACTTGATGGGTATGAGAAGTACCTGCTTGGTGATCAGTCTCACTAATGGGTCTTGTCTCAACTAACTTGAAAAGAACCCAGAAGAAGATTTGATGTATTTGATCAGTCAAGTGCTATCCTTGATTCATCTGAGTGATTTCTATCCTCTTCACCTCTTTCTGTCTGTGCTCCATGTTTAATAATCAAATGCTCTTACCATCAGTGCAGAGGGGTCCAGACCTCCCATATGGGCAGAGGCAGACAATATCTGTTCCGGATTTTGGAACACAGGTGGCACCATTTCCACATGGGTTGTTTTCACAACTTGCAAACTGGCACAGCTTGCCTGAATACAGCCTTGGACACTCACAAAACAGATTTTCATTATCACTGAGAAGGGAAAAAATTTAAAAATTCATTAGGAAACAACTGATATTTTCTACACACATACACATATATACACATGCATGAACACATATGCAAATAAAATTATAATTGCATCTTTTCTAATAAGTGACTTTTTTCTCCCTCTTTTCTGTTTCAACTTTTGAATATTTGTAGCTGTGTGCTTTCCACTGAAAGCAGATTAATAGCTTTATAGATTATCTGAAGCCATGAATTCTATTTTAAGCCATCTATTTTTATTTTTGATTTGTCTCATCTTTTATTTCACACTGGGTGCCTTTTCAGGGCTTCATTGAATATGTGTGGTGCTGCCTTAATAAAGTGCATCAAATGTCTATTAGCAAAAAACATCTTAGACTCAAAGCTCAGAGGAGAATTTTAAGCTGGTGATAAGCTTCCCCACTCTGAGGACAAAGTCCTCCAAGAGCTGCATTTGTAGTAATTCTGAAAATAAGACACAGTGGGGAGCTATAATGACTATATAACTCTTCAGCTTAAAATATGGTTTGGTGGCCCCAGGCTGTGAGTGTGCATGAAAGCAGAGCTCAGGAAAAATACTCCTCTTACCTGCCAGGGAAGCATTCTCAAGAGGGAGAAGTGACTTGGAGTTTGTTATTTCTGCCTCTCTGCATCCATTGCCCCATTTAAAGTAACAGATGCCTTCGTTTTCCTTTCCAAGACCCACCCCTCCACCATTCTCAGCCCATGTTGTCTGGGAGACACAGTCTCCACTCGGTGCCAATCATAGTGTATAGTGCAGGGTGGATACATGACACGCTAGGCCAACTGGCCAACCTCTGCTAGAACTCTCCAGAGAGTACTCTTTTTATCTGCTGGTGTTGCTACACTGGTAATTGATGGTGGCGTGTGCCTGTCCAGAGGGAAGAGCCTAGCTGAGAATAAATAGCTAATACTTAGCAATGTAAATATAAGTGACAGAGAAATATAGATTATTGATTATCTGGGTACCAGATCTAGCCAGTACTCTGTAGTTATGTGAGACAATATATTCCACTGCTTTTACATTTTTAAAGCCAGTTTGATTTGGGATTTTGTCACTTGAAGTTAAAGAATTCCATTTAATCTTTTCTTTTTTTTTTTGCTCTCTTATTACATTAGTTCATACACCTTGCCATATACAGATCTTAGGAGTTTACATCTTATCTTCTCAATGCGACTGTTAGCTCTTAAGCATAGGTGCCAGGATCAGCCCTGATAATTGGGAAACTAACATATTTTTATGTTTTTATGACACAGCCTCCCAGTCTAGTTGTAGATCTTACCCATACCATGAATTTTTCCCCAGCTATCTGTATGGTTTCTCAATACCTTCCTCATGTCTTTGAATCCCCTTACTCCAAAATTTGTGTGTAGGAAAGAACCATTTTTTTCATCATAATGAGACCTGACTTAGAAATATGAAGGTGTTTCCTTTTCTAAAAATATTCATATTTTAATATTCTCCATGATAATGTTGTGAAACACTATGAAAGTTTATGTATCAGATAGCAGATAAAGCTGGCTTTGGTGGGGTTGTAAGGCTTTGAGACCTTCAGATTTTGCCAACTCATAAGGCTTATCCTGTAAGTAATCAGTAATTTATGCATTTTATAACCTTCATGGAAACCTGCATAGCATTCTACACATTGCAGACAGATATGGAATCTCATAAGTTTTCAGAATTGGGAAAAAATTATATATCGATGCCCCTAAGATGGTTATAAAGTATCCTGAGCAAGATTTTCTGTTTCCGAGAAATAAAGTTTTGAGGACTGCTTAGCTAATGCTGTTCCTTGTTTCCTGAGAATAGCGATAAAAGCACAGCCGGACCACCTAGCAGGTACAGAAATATTTCTGGTGTGACCTAAAGTATACGTTAGAAACTTAATGTTGTTTGGGGGTAATGGATAAATCTGATATAACTTTGCTTCCACTGACCTTACTTGGAGTTGAAAGGTCAGTATTAAGCATTTGTATTCTGGGATAAAGTCTAGGAAAGTAGCATTCTTGAGAGCTGCCTTCTGGAAGGACCAAATTAGTCTTTTTCAGATCAAGGAGAATGCCTCATATGTGAAAGTCAAACTAATCTAAGCATTGATTGATTTAAATGCTTTAATCATATAAAGCTAAACAGATTTGGCATGCAGGAAAGATGATTTTATGGTGAAAACCAAGGAAAGCACTATTTTTAATCAGGTCCTATTGATAAATCAAGCCCCATTTCCTCTTTCTGCTTTCATCAGGTGTTGTCAGAAGTTGGTTGTGTAAATTCATGCGGAGACGACTAACTGTGTGCATCTGTATGTCAGCAGGCAACTAGAGTAGAGAGAGAACTAGAAATTTTATAGAAAACTCTCCAAGAAAAGGGAAGCTCACCATATCTAACCAAGGGCAAGTGTTCAGAGTCTTCTGGCCTGTCTTGATATCCCATTAGCACCTCATTAGCAAGAGTCAGCTTTACTCAATTGAGATGTTGCCAGATGATGGCACTTCAAATTGTACCTCAAAGTTCCAAAAGACTTCTTGGAGTGTCAGACATTTCACCAGTAGTTTTTGTTTTCTAAATCTATCTTTGCTATCGTCTGTGTTATACCTGGACTCAAAGGTTTCTCCTATCCAGATCTTGTCAGATCCTGTTATTAAATCACAACTTCTTCAAAAGCTACCAAGCCTGCTGTTTTCTCTGCCACTTGACCTACTTTGATGTCTCTCTACATCTTGTAGCAAAAGGCAGTGTTGACCCAGAAAGGGAATGCTCTAAGACTGATGGATCTTATGTAAGACAGTTGACTTTTGGAAATAGTTTTCAAAACAGTGTCACCCTCTTTTGCTCAGTTTACTTTAAATATTACATTATTGCTGTGAATTAGTCACTGCTTATTATAATTAGCTTTGAGAGAATATATTTATATGAAATATATTTTTTTCATGGAATATATCTTTTCATCCCTAAATTTTTAAAAATTTTATCCTTCACAAGACCTGTAAACCACATAGAAACCTTTTTTTGGAAATTGTCCTGTAAGCAAGTCAGGAGATTTTTCTGAATTAAAAGTAGGTCTGCGAAATAATCCAGATTATGGTGAAGTTTTTACCTATACACCAGAGGACCATATTTATTTTGGCAATTGCTGCCATCCAAAGTTTGTTGTGCACCTACATCATGGATGGATCCATGTGCCAAGTGGTGAATAAGACTCGCTTTTGCATTCTTTGTAGGAGACATCATAAAGGCACGAACAAATCTCTGTAAGATACATAGTATGTGACAAAGGAATAGAGAAAGTATCAAGTATTTTAAGGCCTTAGCTCTGTAATATGTGGATTCAGATGACAGTAGTTACTAAAAGCTGGTCTGTGAACTGGCACCAAAGGATTACCAGGGACTCTCCTGAATGCGTTTGCTAAATGCAGATTTCCATGCTCCTCTTGCCCTCTGAGATTCTGATTTAGAATGTCTAAAGTAAGGCTCAAGAGTCTGCCTTTAAAAAATGTCATTAGGAGACTCTTTTGCATAGCCTACTTTTACTTAAACCCATCCCTCTGAGACAAATATTCTCTCCAGAGTGAAAGCTTGATGGGCATTAGTTATTATTGTGTCCTTACAGGATATTATAATTTTATTTCTGTTTTTGGGCTATGTTTTGACTTTTGACCAACATATATCTGAAAACACATATATCCGTCAAAGTACAAAGATGAGAAGGTTTTCATTTTAGGAGTGCCATATACAGTCTACTGCATGTGCATTATGTTTAACTTCAACATAAAAGAGGAAAAAATTCACTCGGTCATTTTAAAGCTTAGTTAAAAAAATACCACCTATCTAAGCATATGCCAACAACTATATATTTTGGAATTGTAACTGCTACGGGATATTTGATTACAAGTCTACAATACGGTAAGAATATTAACTGTCATTTCTATGAGTATTAAAAGTTACCTTTAGAAAAATTTAGCTGATTAAAAAAAATCAAAGAAGCTGGCTTGAAAAGGGTGCCCACTACTTATATAACACAGCTAGATGCCAAAAATCTTCTAGAACTAAAAGGACTCCTGCATGTATTAACTTAAAAAAATAAATAACTCTTCTTGCACTCTTTGTATCTAACAGATCATTAGCCGATTTCAAAGTTGGCCACCCACAGTGTCAAGAGAGGGAGGTTCTCAGCAGGAAAGAGTGCAGAAATGAATCCTTATGAATAATGTCTCCAGATAGTTCTGAAAAATAAAATTGCTACTGGCGGAAATAACCCATCTCTATGTATCGGCTCTGATAGCACCACAGCCCAGGCTTTAGGAGGTATGCAAATGAGATCCCAAGTAGCTGTGGTTCAAGTAGAACTTTCCATCTTTTTCATGAATTTCACAACACCATGATAAGAGCCTGCTAATTACAAAGAATACTTCCCCTCTCCCCTGCAAGAATCTTCCTTAAAAAATTGGAATTTCTGTCAAATGAGTTGTTAGCTGTGTGTGGAGACTCTGGCTCTAGTACTGTAGATAGATTTTTCTTTGTCTGTTTCTAGGACAGAACTGCCTAAATGGATGTTATTTTGTGCTGTAAGGCACACCACTACGTGTGTCATTTTTCATTTATAACTTTTTAAAAGTAGCCAAGCATGAAAATAATGGGAAAAAAATGCAAAACCAAAATTACTTTGTGGTGGCCTAGAAAGTGAACTTGGAGAAACATAGTCTATATAATATACCCATGAACAGAGAGCTCAGGGAAAATGTCCTCTGCTATAGAAACTTTTTTCTTTATATGAAAGGGTTTTTCTAAAGGCAGGAACAAGATAAGAAAGGGTAAGAGCAAATAAAAGTCATAGAATGACATAGGAATAAATAATACATAAAATGGAAAATCCATAAACAATTAAAAACACTTTTTTTCTTGTTCTAGTATCTGTCCAATTTAATCTTGTAGGCATTTTGCAAAGAAAAATGGAATATATGGTATAATCTCTCGCCTTCTCTCTTCCCTCTTCCTTCTTTCTTTCTCTCTCTGACAGGCATGGTTCACTTTACAAAAAAATAAACTTCATTGGTAAAGAAAAATGACCAAAATTTCTTCCCCAGCAAGTGCATCAGGATCTCCTTTCCAGAAAGAGATATCTTTTCCATATCTCTGGCCTTGTGACCCTCTAGTTCTTATGAAATGAAATTAAAGTTTTGCTTCCAAGGGAGCAGACTTGGAGAACATGAAGCCCAAAAGGGGAGCTAACATAGTAAACATGGCCATTATCTAAATACATTAAATGAGGTATGTGTGAGAATGTGCCCAGCACAGTACTTGGCATTGATCAGCTGCTCATTATATATTAGGAAAAGGAGGTAAGAATAAATGAAACATGTAATTAGTTGTGTCTGAATCAGTTAATGGTGGAATAAGACAAATATGATGAAATCTGGTACAAAGAGAAGTGGGTTGGGAAAGAAGGATAAGGTGTAGGGTATTGTGGGTGAAAAAATAAAATAATGCATTAATAATTGTTTGTCAAATGAATGTATCATTTCAGTGTCTAGAATTACCCTCCCCCCATAAAAAAAATCTCAGGATCTTAGAATTATACTCTGTGCCCAAACTACAATTTCATAATAAATTTTTCTCACTCTGTGCTCACTGTAAAATTAGCCAGTCTCCAGCCCCCTGCATGGTAAGGGCAATCTGGGCAGGATTCAATATAACAGAATCTGTAAATGCAGTGCTTATGAAGCTCTGGAGCTCTCAGGTAATTTCCTGTAAAGATAATGTGCCTATTTTGAAGCTATTTAAGGCTAGAAGAGTTGGTATGAGCTTTTAAAATGTTATTTTAATTTCCACTAAAAAGACATAAAAAATTATCTTAAAATATTTAAGCCAGCAAAGTGCCATTTCACCCATTCCCCTGACCTCAGTAATGTTCACATACACACAGTTTCTACTCAACTGTTACCATGGTGAATTCACCAGTTATCAGGAAGGTAGAAACACAGCACACAACGTCGATGGTTGTTCTTTTCTGATATTAAGAATTATTTACAAAATTGCTGTGGGTGGAAAATTTATTCCTTAAAAATGAATAGTAGATAACAACTCTCTAGAAAGGTATACATTTATGAACCCAAAGTATCCTTTATGGGTATTCCTATGTTGAATTTGCAATGAGAATTTAATTTTTTTTGCAGTTTCTCACTTATTCCACAGCCTTTCTTTTGTCAAATCTTTACACTCCAATTTTGAGTTGGAAAAAAAGCAAGAAATTTAGAGGTGTTCTTGCTTCTAAATATGTTGATTTGGCAGGCTTGCTCTAAAAGTAGTTTGTGTCTGCCACTTAGAGCAAGCAGGTGACTTTTGGAATTGTCCCAAATCTCTTTATATAGAGTCAGTGTACTGAGCAATGTAAACCAGAGATTACTAACTGGCAAGATGTTTAATGCCTACCTCTTGAACCCCGTGGTATATTTAGATTATAATCTGAAGCCTAGAGATGAAGTTAGGTGCACAGTTGTAAGGGACAATATAAAATTCACCACTTCATCAAAATTCATCAAATTTGATTAAATATCAAATTCTCCTTCTACCCAATCGTTGTTCAGATCTTTCCCAGTCCTGTGATCTCTGCTCAGAGGAAGTGACTTCACTTCCTACTCTATAGATAAAATTTTAGCCTTCAGCACCTCTCTTGACTTCCACATTATCTCTTCCAGCACTTATTCTCCATCCTTTTTTCCTCTTACCCCAATTCCCAATAACAAGTATTTCTTTCCAATGCTAGAATTTCACTTAATTTAATCCTATCAATATATTTGAAGCATAGAGTATAAGTAGATCTGAGCTGAGATGCAAGAAGCGGCCTTGGTCCTTTTAAGAATTTTCACTTTAACTTATTGGCAATAGACATTGAAACGTTTTTGATGAGGGAATGAATTATATTATGTTTTAGAATTATTATTCTGGGGAAAATGTCTGGAGAACAGTAAACCCAGGGACAGAGTTTTCCCCGTTATTAATTTATCATCTGCTGGGCGTGGTGACTCATGCCTATAATCTCAGCATTTTGGGAGGCTGAGGTGGGCAGATCACTTGAGGTCAGGAGTTCAATCCCATCCTGGCCAACATGGTGAAACCCCATCTCTACTAAAAATACAAACAATTAGCTGGGTGTGGTGGCACATGCCTGTAATTCCAGCTACTCAGGAGGCTGAGGTGGGAGAATCACTGGAACCCAGGAGGTGGAGGTTTCAGTGAGCCGAGATCATGCCACTGCACTCCAGCCTGGGCAACAGAGTGAGACTCCATCTCAAAAAGAAAGAAAAAAAAAGAATGTGTTGTTTGTTAGTTCCAAATCTACCCTTTATAATCCTTCCTTGTGATGCTGGAGCTGGACCCTGTAAACACATTCCCTTTGCCAACTGGGGGGATGTTAAGCTTTGTCAGTAGAGGGCACTTGGGACACTGAAGGAAGAAGAGGTTCTCTTCCTAGCTCTGCCGTTCTTTCCTGTCTTCTTACTCCTGCTGGAGGCACGCGCAGGAAACTCAGTGCTGCTCACCCCCAGCAAGTTCCACAGCACCTCCCCTGGAGAATTACCACCAGGAGACAGCCCATGACCCACCCAACTTTCCAGCTTCTAGGTGTCCCAGTGGGCAAATTCTTAGCAAGTTCAGCAGCACCTTCAAGTGTGGCTTTCTAGTAAGTTTTCCTGGACCTTATAGTGAGTGGCTTGAAACAGTTTCATAGACGCCCCAGTGGGCAGGAATTCTAGCAAGTTCAGCAGCATCTTTGTGGTGGCTTCTCAGTGAGCTCCCTAGAGTCCCAGAGGGTAGCTTCCCAGTGCATTTCAGCAGCGCCCCATTATATGGCTTCTTCTTTCCCAGTCTTGGACTGGGGTATCACAGTGAACTTTTCTGTCACTCAATGGCCACACTCTCCATCGTGCTCTGCATACCAGGTGGTGTGTGTGTGTGTGTGCACAAGTGTGTAGGTATGTGTGTGTAAGTGTGCATGTGTGTGTGTATGTGTGTGAGTGTATATGTGTGTCTTCTGATTTGTTCCTTGGAGCACTGTTTCTCAGCCCTAGAGGTAGGAATGGCTCCTACATCCACTATACCTAAATATGGTTTTTTTTTTTTTTTTTTTAGACCTAGTCTCGCTCTTGTCACCCAGGCTGGAGTGCAGTGGTGTGAATTCGGTTCACTGCAGCCTCCACCTTCTGGGTTCAAGCAATTCTCCTACTTCAGCCTCTCAAGTAGCTGGGATTACAGGCACATGCCGCCATGCCTGGCTAATTTTTGTATTTTTAGTAGGGATGATGTTTTGCCATGTTGGCCAGGATGGTCTCAACTCCTGACCTCAGGTGATCTGCCTGCCTTGGCCTCCCAAAGTGCTGGGATTACAGGCGTGAGCCACCATGCCTGGCCCACCTAAAATATTTAATGTACTCTTTGCATCTTAAAAATTAATCCCATGTTACTGGATAATAAATCTTCATATTAAACTTTCCTAAATTACTGTGTGGCTCTGTCTCTTGACCAAACCCTGAGTTATACACAGAAATCCAAGCAGAAGTGTAGATAAGCTTAGTGGAAGTGGGCATGGAGAGAAATAATTTGAGAGATGCTCAGGGAGAAAAATATCTTTTTTTGTTTTTTATTTTTTTATTATACTTTAAATTCTAGGGTACATGTGCACACGTGAAGGTTTGTTACATATGTATGCATGTGCCATGTTGGTGTGCTGCACCCATTAACTCGACATTTACATTAGGTATATCTCCTAATGCTATCCCTCCCCCCTCCCTACACCCCATGACAGGACACGGTGTGTGATGTTGCCCACACTGTGTCCAAGTGTTCTTATTGTTTAATTCCCACCTATGAGTGAGAACATGAGATGCTTGGTTTTCTGTTCTTGTGATAGTTTGCTGAGAATGATGATTTCCAGCTTCATCCATGTCCCTACAAAGGACATGAACTCATCCTTTTTTATGGCTGCATAGTATTCCATGGTATATATGTGACACATTTTCTTAATCCAGTCTATCATTGATGGACATTTGGGTTGGTTCCAAGTCTTTGCTATTGTGAATAGTGCTGAAATAAACATACATGTGCATGTGTCTTTATAGTAGCGTGATTTATATTCCTTTGGATATATGCCCAGTAATGGGATCGTTGGGTCAAATGGGATTTCTAGTTCTAGATCCTTGAGGAATCCCCCACACTGTCTTCCACAATGGTTGAACTAGTTTACAGTCCCACCAACAGTGTAAAAGTATTCCTATTTCTCCACATCCTCTCCAGCACCTGTTGTTTCCTGACTTTTTAATGATTGCCATTCTAACTGGTATGAGATGGTATCTCATGGTGGTTTTGATTTGCATTTCTCTGATGGCCAGTGATGATGAGCATTTTTTTCATGTGCATAAATGTCTTCTTTTGAGAAGTGTCTGTTCATATCCTTTGCTCACTTTTTGATGGGTTTTTTTTATTTTTTCTTGTAAATTTGTTTAAGTTCTTTGTAGATTCTGGATATTAGCCCTTTGTCATTTGGGTAGATTGTAAAATTTTCCTCCCATTCTGTAGGGTGCCTGTTCACTCTGATGGTAGTTTCTTTTGCTGTGCAGAAGCTCTTTAGTTTAATTAGATCCCATTTGTCAATTTTGGCTTATGTTGCCATTGCTTTTGATGTTTTAGTCATGAAGTCCTTGCCCATGCCTATGTCCTGAATGGTATTGCCTAGGTTTTCTTCTACAGTTTTTATGGTTTTAGGCCTAACATTTAAGTCTTTAATCCATTTTGAATTAATTTTTGTATAAGGTGTAAGGAAGGAATCCAATTTCAGCTTTCTACATATGGCTAGCCAGTTTTCCGAGCACCATTTGTTAAATAGGGAATCCTTTCCCCATTTCTTGTTTTTGCCAGATTTGTCAAAGATCAGATGGTTGTAGATGCGTGCTATTATTTCTGAGGGCTCTGTTCTGTTCCATTGGTCTATATCTCTGTTTTGGTACCAGTACCATGCTGTTTTTGTTACCATAGCCTTGTAGTACCGTTTGAAGTCAGGTAGCATGATGCCAACAGCTTTGTTCTTTTGGCTTAGGATTGTCTTGGCAATGTGGGCTCTTTTTTGGTTCCATATAAACTTTAAAGTAGTTTTTTTCCAATTCTGTGAAGAAAGTCATTGGTAGTTTGATGGGGATGTCATTGAATCTATAGATTACCTTGGGCAGTATGGCCATTTTCCCGATATTGATTCTTCCTATCCATGAGCATGGAATGTTCTTCCATTGAGCAGTGGTTTGTAGTTCTCCTTGAAGAGGTCCTTCACATCCTTTGTAAGTTGGATTCCGAGATATTTTATTCTCTTTGAAGCAATTGTGAATGGGAGTTCACTCATGATTTGGCTCTCTGTTTGTCTGTTATTGGTATATAGGAATGCCTGTGATTTTTGGACATCGATTTTGTATCCTGAGACTTTACTGAAGTTGCTTATCAGCCTAAGGAGATTGTGGGCTGAGATGATGGAGTTTTCTAAATATACAATCATGTCATCTGCAAACGGGGACAATTTGACTTCCTCTTTTCCTAATTGAATACTCTTTATTTCTTTCTCCTGCCTAATTGCCCTGGCCAGAACTTCCAACACTATGTTGAATAGGAGTGATGAGAGAGGGCATCCCTGTCTTGTGCCAGTTTTCAAAGGGAATGCTTCCAGTTTTTGCCCATTCAGTATGATATTGGCTGTGGGTTTGTCATAAATAGCTCTTATTATTTTGAGATATGTCCCATCAATACCTAGTTTATTGAGAGTTTTTAGCATGAAGACCTGCTGAATTTTGTCAAAGCCCTTTTCTGCATCTATTGAGATAATCATGTGGTTTTTGTCTTTGGTTCTGTTTATATGATGGATTCCATTTATTGATTTGCTTATGTTGAACCAGGCTTGCATCCCAGGGATGAAGCCAACTTGATCATGGTTGATAAGCTTTTTGATGTGCTGCTGGATTTGGTATGCCAGTATTTTATTGAGGATTTTTGCATTGATGTTCATCAGGGACATTGGTCTAAAATTCTCTTTTTTTGTTGTGTCTCGGCCAGGCATGGTATCAGGATAATGTTGGCCTCACAAAATGAGTTATGGAGGAGTCCCTCTTTTTCTATTGATTGGAGTAATTTCCGAAGGAATGGTACCAGCTCCTCCTTGTACCTCTGGTAGAATTCCGTTGTGATTCCGTCTGGTCCTGGACTTTTTTGGGTTGGTAGGCTGTTAATTATTGCCTCAATTTCAGAACCTGTTATTGGTCTATTCAGGGATTCAACTTCTTCCTGGTTTAGTCTTGGGAGGGTGTATGTGTCAAGGAATTTATCCATTTCTTCTAGATTTTCTAGTTTATTTGCATAGATGTGTTTATAGTATTCTCTGATGGTAGTGTGTATTTCCATGGGATCGGTGGTGATATCCCCTTTATCATTTTTTATTGTGTCTATTTGATTCTTCTCTCTTTTCTTCTTTGTTAGTCTTGCTAGCGGTCTATCAATTTTGTTGATCTTTTCAAAAAACCAGCTCCTGGATTCGTTGATTTTTTGAGGAGTTTTTTGTGTCTCTATCTCCTTCAGTTCTGCTCTGATCTTAGTTATTTCTTGCCTTCTGCTAGCTTTTGAATATGTTTGCTCTTGCTTCTCTAGTTCTTTTAATTGTGTTGTTAGGGTGTCAATTTTAGATCTTTCCTGCTTTCTCTTGTGGGCATTTGGTGCTATAAATTTCCCTCTACATACTGCTTTAAATGTGTCCCAGAGATTCTGGTTTGTTGTGTCTTTGTTCTCATTGGTTTCAAAGAACATCTTTATTTCTGCCTTCATTTCGTTATGTACCCAGTAGTCATTCAGGAGCAGGTTGTTCAGTTTCCATGTAGTTGAGCGGTTTTGACTGAGTTTTTTAATCCTGTGTTCTGGTTTGATTGCACTGTGGTCTGAGAGACAGTTTGTAATAATTTCTGTTCTTTTACATTTGCTGAGGAGTGCTTTACTTCCAACTATGTGGTCAGTTTTGGAATAAGTGCGATGTGGTGCTGAGAAGAATGTACATTCTGTTGATTTGGGGTTGAGAGTTCTGTAAATGTCTATTAGGTCCTCTTGGTGCAGAGCTGAGTTCAATTCCTGGATATCCTTGTTAACTTTCTGTGTCATGGATCTGTCTAATATTGACAGTGGGGTGTTAAAGTCTCCCATTATTATGGTGTGGGAGTCTAAGTCTCTTTAGGTGTCTAAGGGCTTGCTTTATGAATCTGGGTGCTCCTGTATTGGGTGCATATATTAGGATAGTTAGCTTTTCCTGTTGAATTGATCCCTTTAACATTATATAATGGCCTTCTTTGTCTCTTTTGATCTTTGTTGATTTAAAGTCTTGTTTATCAGAGACTAGAATTGCAACCCCTGCTTTTTTTTTGTTTTCCATTTGCTTGGTAGATCTTCCTTCATCCCATTATTTTGAGCCTATGTGTGTCTCTGCATGTGAGATGGGTCTCCTGAATACAGCACACTGGTGGGTCTTGACTCTTTATCCAATTTGCTAGTCTGTGTCTTTTAATTGGAGCATTTAGCCCATTTACATTTAAGGTTAATATTGTTATGTGTGAATTTGATCCTGTCATTATGATGTTAGCTGGTTATTTTGCTCGTTAGTTGATGCAGTTTCTTCCTAGCCTTGATGGTCTTTACAATTTGGCATGATTTTGCAGCGGCTGGTACTGGTTGTTCCTTTCCATGTTTAGTGCTTCCTTCAGGAGCTCTTTTAGGGCAGGCCTGGTGGTGACAAAAATCTCTCAGCATTTGCTTGTCTGTAAAGTATTTTATTTCTCCTTCACTTATGAAGCTTAGTTTGGCTGGATATGAAATTCTGGGTTGAACATTCTTTTCCTTAAGAATGTTGAATATTGGCCCCCACTCTCTTCTGGCTTGTAGAGTTTCTGCTGAGTGATCTGCTGTTATTCTGATGGGCTTCCCTTTGTAGGTAACCTGACCTTTCTCTCTGGCCGCCCTTAATGTTTTTTTCCTTCATTTCAACTTTGGTGAATCTGACAATTACGTGTCTTGGAGTTGCACTTCTCAAGGAGTTTCTTTGTGGCGTTCTCTGTATTTCCTGAATTTGACTGTTGGGCTGCCTTGCTAGGTTGGGGAAGTTCTCCTGGATAATATCCTGAGAGTGTTTTCCAACTTGGTTCCATTCTTCCCAACACTTTCAGGTACACCAATCAGACGTAGATTTGTTTTTTTTACATAGCCCCATATTTCTTGGAGGCTTTGTTCATTTCTTTTTACTCTTTTTTCTTAAACTTCTCTTCTTGCTTCATTTCATTCATTTGATCTTCAGTCGCTGTTACCCTTTCTTCCACTTGATCAAATCGGCTACTGAAGCTTGTGCATGCATCACGTAGTTCTTGTGCCATGGTTTTCAGCTCCATCAGGTCAATTAAGGTCTTCTCTACACTGTTTATTCTAGTTAGCCATTCATCTAACCTTTTTGAAGGTTTTTAGCTTCTTTGCAATGGGTTCGAACATCCTCCTTTAGCTCAGAGAAGTTTGTTATTACCGATCATCTGAAGCCTTCTTCTCTCAACTCGTCAAAATAATTCTCCATCCAGCTTTGTTCTATTGCTGGTGAGGAGCTGTGTTCCTTTGGAGGAGAAGAGGCACTCTGACTTTTAGAATTTTCAGCTTTTCTGCTCTGGTTTCTCCCTATCTTTGTGGTTTTATCTACCTTTGGTCTTTGATGATGGTGATGTACAGATGGGGTTTTGGTGTGGATGTCCTTTCTGTTTGTTAGTTTTCCTTCTAACAGTCAGGACCCTCAGCTGCAGGTCTGTTGGAGTTTCCTGGAGGTCCACTCCAGACCCTGTTTTCCTGGGTATCACCAGTGGAGGCTGCAGAACAGCAAATATTGTAGAACGGCAGATGTTGCTGCCTGATCCTTGGTCTGGAAGCTTCGTTTCAGAGGGGCACCTGGCTGTATGAGGTGTCAGTCGGCCCTTACTGGGAGGTGTCTTCCAGTTAGGCTACTCGGGGGTCCGGGACCCACTTGAGGAGGCAGTCTATCCATTCTCAGATCTCAAACTCCATGCTCGGAGAACCACTACTCTCTTCAAAGCTGTCAGATAGGGACGTTTAAGTCTGTAGAAGTTTCTGCTGCCTTTTGTTCAGCTATGCCCTGCCCGCAGAGGCAGAGTCTACAGAAGCAGGCAGGCCTCCTTGAACTGCGGTGGGCTCCACCCACTTCGAGCTTCCTGGCTGCTTTGTTTACCTACTCAAGCCTCCGCCATGGCAGACGCCCCTCCCCCACCCTTGCTGTCACCTCGTAGTTCAATCTCAGACTGCTGTGCTAGCAGTGTGTGAGGCTCTATGGGTGTGGGACCCTCTGAGCCAGGCACGGGATATAATCTCCTGGTGTGCCATTTGCTAAGACCATTGGAAAAGTGCAGTATTAGGGTGGGAGTGTCCCGATTTTCCAGGTACTGTCTGTCATGGCCTCCCTTGGCTAGGAAAGGGAATTCCCCGACTCCTTATGCTTCCTGGGTGAGACGATGCCCTGCCCTGCTCCATGGGCTGTACCCAGTGTGCAACAAGCCCTGGTGAGATGAACCCGGTACTTCAGGTGCAACTGCAGAAATCACCTGTCTTCTATGTCATTCACGTTGGGAGCTGTAGACTGGAGCTGTTCCTATTTGTCCATCTGGGAACCTCCCCCTATTTCAGGGAGAAAAATATCTAACTTGATGATTGGTTTCTGGTTTGTCTAGCTGAGTAGATTTTGGTGCCATTCTTGAAACTGAAGAATATATAAATTTAGAAAGTCGAGGGAGAATATAATGAGTTCATTTATAGGCATATATTATTTGATGTATCCATGGACATGCTAGTAACTATTTTCAGTAGTGTAGGAATAAGTTATCAATATAACTTATTTTAAAAATAACATAAACATAATTAGGCTTTTATTATAATTAAGAAAACCTCTGGATTACAATGCTGGTTGGTGGAGAGAGGGAGAGGCTACTGAAGAAAAATAAACTTTGACTCAAATACCTTACAAATTCAAAGTACTAGAGCAGCTACTTACATATCAACAAAACAGTAAAGTTTGCACTAAAAGCTTTTATCCATTGTACTTATCTAAATAGAAAGATCCCCATGTGTATGGGGACATGGTGTGGCAGAATCCTTTTTAGGCTTAAATGCATATATACTCTTTCTCTTATAAATGCAATTACCACGCATGAAATAGCTATGAAATATCTGTTCATCCTGGGGACAGTTTGGTTAGCTTCTTGGGAATAGTTGTGAAGATGAAAACTATGTCCATGAAGGAAAGCTGACTGAGTAGAAAGTATTTCAGCTCGTTTCCATACAACTGTTGTTATTGTTGATGATGATGATGATGATTCATTATAAAATGAAGCATCTGGGGTGACTGCCTAACTGGACAGGATGCCAGGATAACAGGGGTAAACAGGGACTATCCCAGCTAAACCAGGGGTGTGGTCACCTTCTATTTGAAGTCATAACATTTTTTCCTTAGGTTATTGTTGTACTGAACGTATTAAATATAGAGTTTCCATCTTAAACTAATTCTGAAGTAGAGATGCTGTGATTTTATTTTAACTGTTGTATTATCTGGAAACTCATTCTACTGGGGCTCAAATTTACATATATTTAGGGCATGAGCATGGTGACGGTTAATACTGAGGGTCAACTTGATTGGATTGAAGGATGCAAGGTATTAATCCTGCATGTGTCTGTGAGGGTGTTGCCAAAGGACATTAACATTTGAGTCAGTGGGCTGGGGGAGACAGACCCACCCTTAATCTGGTGGGCACCATCTAATCAGCTGCAAGCGAATATAAATCAGGCAGCAAAAATGGCCTAGTCTTCCAGCCTACATTTTTCTCCTGTGCTTGGATGCTTCCTGCCCTCAAACATCGGACTCCAAGTTCTTCAGTTTTAAGACTTGGACTGCCTCTCCTTGCTCCTCAAGCTTGCAGACAGCCTATTGTGGGACCTTGTGATCATGTAAGTTAAAACTTAACAAACTTCCCATTATATCTCTGTCTATCTGTCTGTCTGTCTGTCTGTCTGTATCTATCTATCTATCTATCTATCTATCTATCTATCTATCTATTCTGTCCCTTTATGGAAACCTGACTAATTCAGGCTTGGACCAATATTTTGTGTTAAGTTGTTGAGACTGAGACACAAAGATCAGATAACTGAAAACAGTTTTCCTGAAGAAGGAACTACTGATAATAAATCACTGCTTTGCTGCCTTTGAAATAATGTGCTTCCTCCTACCCCCTTTCTCTTTCTTTTTCTTTTTTAATCCTGAAAGGGGTAATTTCAGTTTTAAATACAAGAGGCTGAAAGTGGCTTCAGGCTTTTTCAATTAAAAGATTTAGTTTGCAACTTCTTTGCACTGGAAAAGACTAAATCTCTTGGAATCAGTTGACATGATGTTAAAATGGACTGTGCTATTTCTTTAAAAGCCATGTACAATGGCCATTTCTCATCAAAAGGTGTTTTGGCTGTAGGCAAGCTTCTTAGTTCCATAACCTTATGGATGGTAAAGGACAGTTTCAAAAGGCATTTATACCTAGTTAACACTTTTTTTTTTTGACACACTATTAGATGTGACAATTTTCTTTTACAATAAATGGATAAAAGAATAAAAGGAACAACCAACTTTCCCTGCTGTTTCAATAGTTTCAATTAGTTTATTTCCCCTCAATTGCTCCTTCAGATGGGCTAGATAAGATTTCACTATTTGGGGGGATCGTTTTAAGCTTCTTTTCCAGCAGTTTGTTATTTTTAAAGCTCCAGTGATTCACTATAAAATGCATCTCCATCTGCAGGAAGCAATTCCTAAATTGCTTCACTCAACAAATCCAAAACTGCTAGGCTCACTATAGCACAGAAATAGAACTGATTTGGAAAGGGATTACCTATTGGGTTCAGAAAAACCTCTTCTGAGAGAGGTTATGGCATGGAGCAGATCTCTGAATGCCAGAGGGAACTTTTATTTTATTGTATTTAGCAAGAATCGTTTGAAGTTTTGTTTATTGGTCTGAACTATTTCCTGGTAAAAATATACTTTGGTAACTAATATATATAAATTATGAGTTATTGCAAACTCCAGTTCCGAATTAAAATTTTCTAAGCAACTTAAAATTATGTCTGAATATACATACTTAAATACGTTTTTTTCCAGAACTTACTAAATCTTAAGTTGAATTTATTTCACTTAAGGTTAATCCTTTTCCCCACCTCCCCTTGGCACAAATATGCAAAATATTAACCTTTAGCCTGAAAATGTTATTTCCATTACTTATAGAATAGGGTCAAATATTTGGCATATATTTTATCTACATTAAAGTGTAACATGGGTTAGAAAATCTTGGTTTATATTAGTTGTTTTCAATCTAATTAAAGTAAAATAGAAACAAGAAAAAAATGCAGGTCAAGCGACAAGGAATTGTTTGCTAGTTTAATCACATATAGGAAGCTATTGTTATCCTTGAGACTTAGACAAGTTGACTATTCTATAGGATTTTTAAAGACAGGACATGATTTATCTTAATACTGTGTCAGCATTTTCCTGAAACTGATTTAGCCTTTTGCATTAAAAAGAAGAGACACACTAGAACTTTTAATTGAAAAAACCTGCAGCTACTTTCAACCTCTAATATCTAAAATCAAGTTATCTCTTTCTGAAAAGAACAAAAAGGAAGTAGCTAATCTTGAAGTTGTTCAGGAGTCATTTATTACCAAAAGTATTTTTACTGACTGTCCCAATTCCTTTAGGAAACTTCAAGCTATGAAGAGCATAATATATAAAACAGACTATTTAAGGGATACTTTGTCTTATTACAAAAGTTGTCACTCAAGTCTCCAATAAATAGCTTCATACAAATTTTTTTTCAGGGATACACCATTTGCCACAGGCAAAACTGTCACATCGCATTTGGTTTTACACTGGAGTTCCTTGATGTTGTTCCATAAGCCTCCATGAGGGGCAGAGGAGCAGGCCTTCCATCCACTCTGCCATGCCTCGACCAGAGTTAGTTTGCTTTATTTATTCATTCATTCATTCACCCACTCAACGTTTACTGAACTTTTTCCCTATTCCAGGCACTGCTAGGCACTGTACAACTGTGTTGAATGAAATAGATATCATCCCGTTTTGCATTGAGTTTGCAATCTAGATGGTGAGACAAGAATTAAGTAACTAAATAGAAAATGACACATTATATTAAGTCCTAAAAGAGAATATCACATTGGTGCTATGGGAGAGCACAGCAGGCGGCCTATTTTAGATAAATGGTTGGGGGAGAGTTTTCAGTGGAATTAATAATTAATCCGAAACATAAAAAATGCAAAATTGGGTAAGGTGAGGAATAGGAAATGTTTAAATAGTGAACAACAGATATGAATGCTAAGATATGAGAGAAAGTCTGACATAGTTCAGGACTGGAAAGTAGCCACTTTTGCCCAGAGTTCAGCAAAAAGGAGATTTGAAAAACTATACAGAGGCTAGATCATGTAGGATGTCTTTGATAACAAAATGTACTCAACATGTAACTTAACCATAATTAGTGTGATTTTACTCCCCAGCAGCTGAAGGCAATACTCTACAAAAAATTCCAAATATATATTATAACATAGTATTCACCTTTGTTCAAAGAATTGATTCAGCCCATAATCAGTCACAACACCTCCTAGCATTTAGAGCAATGGCTTCCTTTACATATGGAACCAAATTTTGGAAGCCGAAGTTGGAACTTTCTTACTAAGGCCTCCAGGGCTGGATATGATCTGGCCCCTGTTCCACTCTGTGACTGGACTCTTTCCACTCTCTCACTGTGCTCTTGCTTCACATGTCCTTGGTGTGCCATGCCACATCACCACGGCTCCAACTGACTTTTAATGTAACTATGCTGACAGTTCCCTGGGAACTCAGACTCACTGCACTCTGACAACTTCTCACCATAAACAGCAAACCATTTCTTCTACCCTTGTGAAAACACAGTCTGAAGGAGCAGAGTCAATGCCCCACGGGGGAAACTCTCAACCAACGTGGCTGGAAGTCAGCAGATAATTGCTTCTGCCTTTAGGTGAACACTTCTTGCAGATAATCTGTAGGCTACTCAGGATGTCCCAGCAGAATAGAATCCTCGAAGTAGGGACTCTACAACTCTGCTTAATGCCGGCTTTTCCCTCTGCCCTGTCTTCCTGTCCCGAGTCTTTCCCTTGCTCCTTGGGACTGCCTCCAATAAATTGCTTGTAACTAAACCTGTGGTATAACCTCTGCTTTTGGGGGAATTCGAAGCTATGGTTCTGGTCTTTTTAATTTGCATACAGTCTGTGTTTGCTCCCCATTTAGTTCCTTTGTGCTTGGCCTAGAACCTTCTTTCTCTTTTGTATGATACTCTCATGGCTGACGCCTTCTCATCATTCAGTTTCAGCCTCAATGTTATTTCCTGAGAAGAGCCTTTCCTCTAATCCAGTGTTGTTCTCAACTGCTTGTCACTACTTCATTACGTAACTCTTAGTATGTTTATTATAACTGATCACTTTTGAGATGTGCGTATTTTCTTATTAACTTATTTTATTACACATTTACTTGTATTGTACCTAGAATTATAAGCTCCAGGAGAGCACAACCCTTACTATGCTGTGAAGGATTGTGCTCACAAAGTCTAGAACAATGGCTGTCATATAATGGTCATGCAGTAAATATGAGTTGAAGGAATTAACAAATGAAATTCAATGTGTTTTCAAGGTGGGATAATAGAATATAGAATAATGCTTTTCTTTTAAGAGCATGCATTTGAAACAGTCTCTTATAGTGTTTCCATTACTAAGAAGATACATCTGAAGCTTCCATCAAGTAAGTAAAAAGAATAAAAAAAAAAATTCAAATTTTAGATGCAGCTGTCCTTTACTGGTAACTTTTCACTTATTTTTAGTTTTACTAAAATGTCCTAACTGGATAGTAATTACCCTTGTGAGAGAGGGTATGTACTATCAGGGGACATAAGAGAGCCTCCTGGGGTGCTGAAAAATGTTACCTAGCTTGATTTGGGTTGTGGTTACATGGTTTTGTACATATGTAAGAATTCATTGAGATTTGTGTGCTTTACTGTATGTATGTTATCTTTTATTTTAAAAATCTTGACCAAGTTCGTGCATGGGGAGCAAAAATACGCACCAATTTTGTAAGTTTTAAAAATATAAAGACCTCTTTAGTGTCAAATTTATTTTTCAGATAGTCCGTCAAATCCTGATTTTCGAAATCTTAGTTTGGTTGTTAAGGAATACCTTGATCATATTTTTACATTGAAGTTATCAAATACTTTATATTAACATAGGGAAAAATCAATCTATACTATGTAAATTCTTGGAGAGGCGGAATCTTTCTTCTTCAATACACTTTTTTTTTTGAAAATGTACCTTTTTTTAGTGAAAATTGTGTATCAATTGGAAACACTTTATCAGCTGTCGTAGAAATAATACGCTATCTTAATCTTCTTTGCATTGGTCCTGTGAAGAAATTTTATAATGGGTAGGTGGAGTGTTTCCATTTTTATTAAATTTGTATTTGCTTGTTCTTTCCATTTGCATCTCATGCTAAATTACATGGCAAAATTAACACCAACTGAAGTGCAGGTTCTAAATGGAAATCTATTATATCCTCCCATATTTTAATCAGGACTTATGTGTTTTATAAATGGCAATTAAGCTTTTCATGGAGTGCACTGGTAATGCTCATATAACATGAAGCACCAAACATATAGGAGTAATCTCATAGCATTAGGGTAGATCCCAATTACTGGCCAAGTAGGCTACATCTTTTGTCATCTGGGTTGAGATGCTGGATGTTCTCCATTCTGAAAGTATCTGCTCATTGTCCCATAGCTGCTCCATGAAAATCCATTTTTGGTGTTTGCTTCATTTTAGGAAGAGAACTAAACATTCTTCTCATAATTTAAGGACTCTTCCAGTGCCAACATGTCAATGATACTCATGGCCAATGAGTATCTCAATGATACTCTTTTTCTTTGATGCAATGATTTCATTCACTTATTGATTCAGGCATTCAATAAATATTTATGAAGTTCTGATGTGTTAGGCACAGGTTTGCTAAGGTAGAAAGACACATAAGGTGTGACCATATCTGATCAAGATTTTAGTCTAAATTAGTAGTTCTTAAAGTTAGTTTTGCATCTGAATTACTAGTCAGAAATACAGATCTATAGTTCTCACCAAGGAGCTACTTACTAGAAGCAGAATCTGGGGGCATGGGAACTGAGTGAGTTCCTAGATTAGAGATACACAGCTTTGATGGCCAGATTTTTAGCTCTCCATAATATTCCCTTTGCAAGAACTTGACCCAATTCGGGACTAAAAAGAAAATCTTTATATTGATCTGAGTCTCCCAACTGTTGTAGATGTAATCATTGGCTAGACTTGTACTCTTTTGAGCAATATTCTTCTTCCAATGTGAATGGCATGTAGTTAATATCAAATAAGTATTTGTTGAACAATAAACGACTGACTGACAGTCTTTCAACCATTCAAACTCAGCTGTCTTCAGGCTAATCATTTCTTATGGTATGGCTTCAAGACCTATATAGGAACTTGAATGTTGGCATCTGAGATTTCCTGGTAGTTAGGGTAAGAATGGGAACTTGATGCTCAATGCTTTTAATCATGCTTTGATTTTACAATGTCTAAATAATTTGTAAATTTTATGTTGAGCAAAAGGAAATAGCCCTTTATCTACTGGCTTGGGCCATACAAGGATCATCTTAAATCTATTTATCTATTTTATTTCAAGGAACATTGAATATTCTTTTGAGTACATTTTACAGGGTTAAAAGTTGATATATTTTAAGTTTGTATTTTAAGATATATTGTCTACAGAACAAGGCCTATGGTCAGTTTTCTAGGTTAGATAACATAAAAATGAAGTTATAATTGGAAGTCCCATAGTTTGTACAGACTAAACAAAAGGAAAAAGTTGTATATGTGTGGCTGCATTCCAAAAAAAAGTGATGTTATTACTTTAGATCATTTTGTTAAACGTTTGGAACATTTCAAGAAGTAATGCTATGCAAGTTTCAACATAGCACATTCTCAAAATGAAAAACACTTCAGGGAATTTGGTAATAAGGTGATAACAAGATGATGAGGTGCTAAAGAAGTTAGTTTCTGCTTTGAATTTTTTTTAGTCCATTATCCTTATTGATGTCTTATAACACTTCGATCTATATACTGACCTTTTATTCTGACTGCTACCTTCACTGTGCCTATCACACATTTTTGGGAGATGGCGATATATTATGAAAAGTTGAAAGTGCCCCCAAAAGCATTAAATCAAATGCTATAAAATTGAGTGCTGACATTTTTCAAAAGTGCAAAAAGTACAATAGTGAGAGTTTCAGAGTGTCGAATATTACCATGGAAGGAAACTGGCCCTGGGAGAATTAAATCTGAGTATAGAAAATGAGGCAACTTTAATATTTGACACAAAAGGTTGTTTTCTTACTTTTTGCTAATGGAATATAATTAAGCATTAATTGCTCTTATTCTCCTTTGAATCAGACATTCAAAGGGCAGGTAGGTCAGGATACTGTCTGGCTCATTTATTAGAAAAGCATGCAAACAGTTGACCTAGAAACACATTGACAGAACAAGGGCCTACTAGTGGGACAGCATCTGCAGGCATAAGCACCAGTTAGATATTAATATAAGCTCCAAATATGTAAGTACACTACTTTTCTCCAGGGACATGCTACAGTTTCACTTCTTTATGTTGAGCATGGAATATAATGAGAATATATCCAGACCATTAAGTGACTAAAACTGAGAAAGGCCTTAACTAAAAGAGGAAAGAGGAATAAAAGGTGTTTTTTTTTTTTTTTTTTGTCTTTGAAAATAGAATGGAGGGATTCCCAGGCAAGATAGCCAAATAGGAAAAGCTCCAGTCTGCAGCTCCCACTGAGACCAAAGCAGAAGGCCAGTGATTTCTGCATTTCCAACTGAGGTAACCAGTTCATCTCGTTGGGACTGGTTAGACAATGGGTACAGCCCACAGAGGGTGGGCAGAATCAGGGAGGGGTGTCCCCTCATCCAGGAAGCACAAGGGGTCGGGGAACTCCATCCCCTAGCCAAGGGAAGCCCTGAGGGACTGTGCCATAAGGGACAGTGCACTCTGGCCCAAATACTACACTTTTCCCATGGTCTTTGCAACCTGCAGACTGGGAGATTCCCTCGGGTGCCCACGTCACCAGGGCCCTAGGTTTCAAGCACAAAACTGGGCAGCCGTTTGGGCAGCCACTGAGCTAGATGCAGAAGTTTTTTTTCATACCCCAGTGGTACCTGGAACCCCAGTGAGACAGAACCATTCACTCCCCTGGAAAGGGGGCTGAAGCCAGGGAGCCAAGTGGTCTTGCTCAGCAGATCTCACCCCCATGGAGCCCAGCACTGGCTTGAAATTCTTGCTGCCATCACAGCAGTCTGAAGTTGACCTCGGATGCTAGAGCTTGGTGGGGGGAGGGGCATTTGCCATTACTGAAGCTTGAGTTTTCCCCTCACAGTGTAAACAAAGCTTCCTGGAAGTTCAAACTGGGTGGAACCCACTGCAGTGCCTCAAAGAAACTGTAGTCAGACTGCCTCTCTAGATACTGCCTCTCTGGGAAGGGCATCTCTGAAAGAAAGGCAGCAGCCCCAGTCAGGAGCTTATAGACAAAACTCCCATCTCCCTGGGACAGAGCACTGGGGGAAGGGGCAGCTGTGGGCGCAGCTTCAGCAGACTTATACATTCCTGCCTGCCAGCTCTGAAGAGAGTAGCAGATCTCCCAGCACAGTGCTCAAGCTCTGCTAAGGGACAGACTGCCTCCTCAAATGGGTCCTTGACCCCTGTGCCTCCTGAAGGGGAGACACCTCCCAGCAGGGGTTGACACACACCTCATACAGGAGAGCTCTGTCTGGCATCTGGCAGGTGCCCCTCTGGGGCGAAGCTTCCAGAGGAAGGATCAGGCAGCAATCTTTGCTGTTCTGCAGCCTCCATTGGCGATACCCAGGGAAACAAGGTCTGGAGTGGACCCCCAGCAAACTCCAGCAGACCTGCTGAAGAGAGGTCAGACTGGTAGAAGGAAAACTAACAAACAGAAAGCAACAGCATCAAGATCAACAAAAAGGATGACCATGCAAAAACTCCATCCAAAGGTCATCAACAGCAAAGACCAAAGGTGATAAATCCATGAAGATGTGGTAAACCAGCGTAAAAAGGCTAAAAATTCCAAAAACCAGAATGCCTCTTCTCCCCCAAAGGATCACAACTTCGTGTAAGCAAGGGCACAAAACTGGATGGAGAATGAGTTTGACGGATTGACAGAAGTAGGCTTCAGAAGGTGGGTAATAACAAACTCCTCTGAGCTAAAGGAGCATGTTCTAATCCAATGAAAGAAAGCTAAGAACCTTGATAAAAGGTTAGAGAAATTTCAAACTAGGGTAACCAGTTTAGAGAAGAACATAAATGACCTGATGGAGCTGAAAAACATAGCACGTAAACTTCATGAAGCATACACAAGTATGAATAGCCGAATTGATCAAGTGGAAGAAAGGATATCAGAGATTGAAGATCAGTTTAATGAGATAAAGTGTGAAGAAAAGATTAGAGAAAAAAGAATGGAAAGGAATAAACAAGGCCTCCAAGAAATATGGGACTATGTGAAAAGACCAAACCTACATTGATTGGTGTACCTGAAAGTTATGGGGAGAAGGGAACCAAGTTGGAAAACACACTTCAGAATATTATCCAGAACTTCCCCAACCTAGCAAGACAGGCCAACATTCAAATTCAGGAAATACAGAGAACACCACAAAGAAGAGCAACCCCAAGACACATAATCGTCAGATTCACCAAGGTAGAAATAAGGGAAAAGATGTTAAGGGGAGCCAGAGAGAAAGGTCGGGGAAGCCACAAAGGAGAGCCCATTAGACTAACAGCTGATCTCTGCAGAAACCCTAGAAACCAGAAGAGTGGGTGTCAATATTCAACATTCTTAAAGAAAAGAATTTTCAACCTAGAATTTCATATCCAGCCAAACTATGCTTCATAAGTGAAGGAGAAATAAAATCCTTTACAGACAAGCAAATGCTGAAGGATTTTGTCACCACTAGGCCTGCCTTACAAGAGCTCCTGAAGAAAGCATTAAATATAGAAAGGAAAAACTGGTACGAGCCACAGCAGAAACAAACCAAAATGTAAAGACCATCAACACTATGAAGAAACTGCATCAACTAATGGGCAAAATAACTAGCTAGCATCATAGTGACAGGATCAAATTAATACATAACAATATTAACCTTAACTGAAAATGGGCTAAATGCCCCAATTAAAAGGCACAGACTTGCAAATTGGATTAAGAGTCAAGACTTCTCAGTCTGCTGTATTCAGGAGACCCATCTCACGTACAAAGTCACACATAGGCTCAAAATAAAAGGATGGAGGAAGATTTACCAAGCAGATGAAAAAAAAAGCAGGGGTTACAATCCTAGTCTCTGATAAAACAGACTTTAAACCAACAAAGATCAAAAAAGACAAAGGGCATTACATAATGGTAAAGGAAACAATGAAACAAGAAGAGCTAACTATCCTAAATATATATGCACCCAATACAGGAGCACCCAGATTCATAAAGCAAGTTCCTAGAGACCTACAAAGATACTTAGTTTCCCACACAATAATAGCCCACTGTCAATATTAGACAGATCAATGAGACAGAAAATTAACAAGGATATTCAGAACGTGAACTCAGCTCTGGAACAAGCGGACCTAACAGATATCTACAGAACTCTCCACCCTAAATCAACACAATATACATTCTTCTCAGCACCACATAGCACTTATTCTAAAATTGACCACATAATTGGAAGTAAAATACTCCTCAGTAAATGCAAAAGAATGGAAATAATAACAAACAGTCTTTCAGACCACAGTGCAATCAAATTAGAACTCAGGATTAAGAAATTCACTCAAAACCACACAACCACATGGAAACTGAACAACCTCCTGAATGACTACTGGGTAAATAACAAAATTAAGGCAGAAATAAATAAGTTATTTGAAACCAATGAGAATAAAGACACACTGTACCAGAATCTCTGGGACACAGCTAAAGAAGTGTTTAGAGGGAAATTTATAGCACTAAATGCCCACAGGAGAAAGCAGGAAGGATCTAAAATCGACACCCTAACATCAGAATTAAAAGAACTAGAGAAGCAAGAGCAAATATATTCAAAAGCTAGCAGAAGACAAGAAATAACTAAGATCAGAGCAGAACTTGAAGGAGATACAGCATGAAAAACCCTTCAAAACATCAATGAATCCAGGAGCTGGTTTTTTGAAAACATTAACAAAATAGAACACAAGCCAGACTAAGAACAAGAGAGAGAAGAATCAAATAGACACAATAAAAAGTGATAGAGGGGAAATCACCACTGATCCCACAGAAATACAAACTACCATCAGAGAATACTATAAATACCTCTGCACAAATAAACTAGAAAATCTAGAAGGAATGGATAAATTCCTGGACACATACAGCCTCCCAAGACTAAACCAGGAAGAAGTCAAATCCCTGAATAGACCAATAACAAGTTCTGAAACTGAGGCAGTAATTAATAGCCTACTGACAAAAAAGTACCCAGGACCAGACAAATTCACGGCCGAATTCTACCAGAGGTACAAAGAGGAGCTGGTACCATCTTCTTAACCTATTCTAAACAATAGAAGAAGAGGGTTTCCACCCTAACTCATTTTATGAGGCCAGCATCATCCTGATACCTAAGCCTGGCAGAGACACAGCAAAAAAAGATCATTTCAGGCCAATATCCCTGATGAACATCGATGCAAAAATCCTCCATAAAATACTAGCAAACTAAATCCAGCAGCACATTAAAAAGCTTATCCACGACCATCAAGTCAGCTTCATCCCTGGGAGGCAAGGCTGGTTCAACATACGCAAATCAATAAACATAATCCATCACATAAACAGAACCAATGAAAAAAACCACATGATTATCTCAATAGATGCAGAAAAGGCCTTCATTAAAATTCAACACCCCTTCATGCTAAAAACACTCAATAAACTAGGTATTGATGGAACATATCTCAAAATAATAAGAGCTATTTATGACAAACCCATGGCCAATCATACTGAATGGGCAAAAGCTGGTAGCATTCCCTTTGAAAACCGGCACAAGACAAGGATGCTCTCTTTCACCATTCCATTTCTACATACTATTGGAAGTTCTGGCCAGGGGAATCAGGCAAGAGAACGAAATAAAGGGTATTCAAATAGGAAGAGAGAATTCAAATTGCCTGTTTGAGATGACATGATTGTATATTTAGAAAACCCCATTGTCTCAGCCCAAAATCTCCTTAAGCTGATAAGCAACTTCAGCAAAATCTCAGGATACAAAATCAATGTGTAAAAATCACAAGCATTCCTATACACCAATAATAGACAAACAGAGCCAAACTATGAGCAAACTCACATTTACAATTGGTACAAACAGAGTAAAATTCCTATCAATACAACTTACAAGGGATGTGAAGGACTTCTTCAAGGAGAACTACAAACCACTGCTCAAGGAAATAAGAGAGGACGCAAACAAATGGAAAAACATTCCATGCTCATGCACGGGAATAATCAATATTGTGAAAATGGCCATACTGCCCAAATTAATTTATAAATTTGATGCTATTCCCATCAAGCTACCATTGACTTTCTTCACAGAATTAGAAAAACCTACTTTAAATTTCATATGGAACCAAAAAAGAGCCCATATAGACAAGACAATCCTAAGCCAAAAGAACAAAGCTGGAGGCATCACACTACCTGACTTCAAATTAATCTACAAGGCTACAGTAACCAAAACAGCATGGTACTGGTACCAAAACACATACATAGACCAATGGAACAGAACAGAGGCCTCAGAAATACCACCACACATCTACAACCATCTGATCTTTGACAAACCTGCCAAAAACAAGCAATGGGGAAAGGATTCCTTATTTAATAAATGGTGTTGGGAAAACTGGCTAGTCATATGCAGAAAACTGAAACTGGACCCCTTCCTTAAATCTTATACAAAAATCAACTCAAAATGAATTAAACATTTAAACATAAGACCTAAAACCATGAAAACCCTAGAAGAAAACCTCGGCAATACCATTCAGGACATAGGCATGGGCAAAGACTTCATGACTGAAACACCAAAAGCAATTGTAACAAAAGCCAAAATGGACAAATGGGGTCTAATTAAACTAAAGAGCTTCTGTACAGCAAAAGAAACTATCGTCAGAGTGAACAGGCAGCCTACAGAATGAGAGAAAAATTTTGCAATCTGTCCATCTGACAAAGGGCTAATATCCTGAATCCATAAGGAACTTAAACAAATTTACAAGAAAAAAACCAACAACCCCATCCAAAAGTAGGCAAAGGATATGAAGAGATACTTTTCAAAAGAAGACGTTTATGCAGCCAACAAGCATATGAAAAAAAGCTCATCACTGGTCATTAAAGAAATACAAATCAAAACCACAATGAGATACCACCTTACACCAGTTAGAATGATGATCATTAAAAAGTCAGGAAACAACAGATATTGGAGAGGATGTGGAGAAATAGGACACTTTTACACTGTTGGTGGGAGGGTAAATTAGTTTAGCCTTGTGGAAGACACTGTGGCGATTCCTCAAGGATCTAGAACTAGAAATGCCATTTGACCCAGCAATCCTAATACTGGGTATATACCCAAAGGATTGTAAATCATTTTACTATAAAGACACATGCACACATATGTTGCTTGCTTCACTGATCACAATAGCAAAGACTTGGAACCAACCCAAATGCCCACAAATGTTAGATTGGATAAAGAAAATGTGGTACATATACACCATGGAATACTATGCAGCCATAAAAAAAGGATGAGTTCTTGTCCTGTGCAGGGACAAGGATGAGTCTGGAAACCATCATTCTTAGCAAACTAACACAGGAACAGAAAACCAAACCCGCATGTTCTCACTCGTGAGTGGGAGTTGAACAATGAGGACATATGAGCACAGGGAGGGGAACATCATGCACCAGGGCCTGTTGGTGGTTGGGGGGCAAGGGGAGGGATAGCATTAAGGAAAATACCTAATGTAGATGACGGACTGATGGGTGCAGCAAACCACCATGGCACATGTATACCTATATAACTTGCATGTTCTGCACATGTATCCCAGAACTTAAAGTCCAATAATAATAATAGTAATAAAAACAGTGAAAAAGGGGAGTCATCAGTCCAAGCTTTAAATTTATCTTCAGAGCTAAAATTCAGAGCAGATGTTTTTATGCCCTACTCAGCTGACACAGCTCAGACAGGGGTTTGATTTGATCAATCCTATTTGAAATTTGGAACTTCTCCTGTCCACTAAGAATATAAGTTGTGTATCCCTTTCCTGGAGATCTTTAAAAAGTGGTGAGAACTCTAATTTCCTGGGTTGAGGGGGGCTTACGCATTTGGACTTCTGAGAGACCTGACTGTGTGAGGAGCCTGAGGGGAGACAGCAAGACCATCACCCTTCCCATCTGCCTAGAGCCCTTGCTAAACTGTGGAAGGGGTGTAATATTCTGAGTTTAAGAAAGCAAACTGTCTTTAAAAAAGAGCCCCCACTTTTCCCTGGCACAGGGTGCATTTGGAGTCTAGACAAGATTGAATATTATCCCCCAAAATGTATATCCACCCAGAACTTGTAACTGTGACCTTCTGGGGAAACAAGGTTTTTATAGATGTAATCAAGTCAGGATGAGACCATCCTGGATTAGGGTGGGTGTTAAATCCAATATGACTGGTATCCTTATAAGAAGAGGGAACTTCAGACAGACAGACGCAGACATACAGAGACGTCCATGTGAAGACAGAGGCAGAAACTGGAGTGATGCTGCTAGGAGTCAAGGAACACTGAGGATGCCAGCAGCCACAAGAAGCTGGAAGAGACGAGGAAGGATCCTACCCTGGAGCCTTCAGACGGAGGATGGCTCTGGCAACACCTTTTGATTTTACATTTCTGACTTCCAGAACTGGGAGGGCATAAAATCTGTTGTTTTTTTTTGTTTGTTTGTTTGTTTTTTTTTTGAGATGGAGTCTCACTCTGTCGCCCAGGCTGGAGTGCAGTGGCACAATCTCTGCTCACTGCAACCTCTGCCTCCTGGGTTCAAGCGATTCCCCTGCCTCAGCCTCCCATGTAGCTGGCACTACAAGGGCCCGCCACCATGCCCAGCTGATTTTTTTTATTATTATTTTTAGTAGAGATGGGGTTTCACCGTGTTAGCCAGGATGGTCTCGATCTCCTGACCTCGTGATCCGGCTGCCTCGGCCTCCCAAAGTGCTAGGATTACAGGCCTTAGCCACTGCGCCCGGCCAAATCCTGTTGTTTTAAGCCACTCAGTTTGTGGTACTTTGTTATGGCAGCCCCAGAAAACTAATACAGCATCTGATGTGTCCATGTTGGCTGTACTAAGACAGGGCCATTGAGACTTGCCTGGCCGTCTTCTGTGGACAGCTTTCTAGATGCACCTAAGTCAAGTCCCTGAGGCCCACCGAGCCATTATTCTGTTCTGGGTCACCCCCCATGGCCTCACCCTCACTGTCTTGCCTTTCATTAAACATGCACTTGTGAGCGATAAAAAAAAAAAAGAATGGAGGCATTGTACATAAATATTTGATGATATAGCCTATTTAAAATTTAGATAGCATCTTTTCCCACAATCTCAATGATTTCATTTTTTTTTCAGTTGTTAAATCAGCTAAAATTGTATCCAACTACTATAATATAGTATTAATTACTGTACAATATAAGAGAAAATGGAGGCAATAATCATTGAATTGGCATTTTGGATTTCAGGAGACATAAAAATCATTTAACACCTGTTTTATTTTAGAGATAAAAGAACTGAGAACTATGAAATTATCACAGCTAGTTAGCAGAGTTGGAATCAGGAACTAAATTCTCTGTTAAAAAGCAATAACTTTAGATCATAAGTGGTCAACCTGTGCTAGCCATTCTATGAAATTTGTGTACTCTGTGGATAATTTTAAGATTAATGTTGGGTTTTACCTATTCTGGTCATAATCCTATTCTGCTTTTGGTCTACATGGCATCTTTCAGTAAGATAGATCTTCCAACCACCTCATCACATACAGAGTAAAATATGGTCTCCCTTGCTTGCCTTACATACTATTTAACCTCATGTATTGCTACCTGAAACCAAGCACTTAATTCTTCCTTCAGTGAAGTACTAAGCCATGTGTGTAGTCCTAGTTCCCACCCACACGTCTGTCCTTATTTGCTGAACTCTTCCTCCGCTTAATACACTCTTTCTCCAAATCTTCCTCTAATTTATGTGGACAATTCTTATTTAATCGTTGAGATCATGATTTGTTTTTTTTTTTTTTTTTTTTTTTTTTTTCAGAAAGCTTTTTATAAGCTTGACAGAACTTCAATGAACTTGGGCTAAATGTTTCTATTACTGAAAAAATACTTTGTGAATATTTTAATATTAGTGTTTACCACATTATTGGAATATGGTATCTGTCTGTCCAACTATGTTGTAAATTTCTTCAAAGACCAGAAACACTTGGGCTGAAACATCAGTCTCCAACGATTTTTTAAATTGTTCGTATGATTTTCATAACTCCAACCATCTCCTGTTGCTTATGAGTTCCAAATCTCTATGTCCTTTCTGGATCTATCTCTTGAGTACCAAGATTTAATTCCACTGTATCGTGTAAGCAGTTTCCTCATTACATATATTACAATGCACTGAATCATTTGTTTTTAGGTTGGACTTATTTATGTGCCCCTCAGATTATTTTGTATAACTAATTTTTATGTATTCAAGGCATGTACCTGTTTGCTTAGTTATTTTTTAGTAGATTTTATTTTTCAGAGGAATTTTATGTTCACAGCAAAATAGAGTGGGAAGTACAGAGTTCCCATATACCTCCTGTCCCCACACATGTACAGCCTTCCTCAATATCAACATCCCACCTCAGAGCGGTACATGGGTTACAATTGATGAGGCTACACTGACACATTTTTATAACTCCCAAATCCATATCTTACATTCATGCTTACTCTTGGTGTTGTACATTCTATGTGTTTGGACAAATACAGAATGACATATATGCACCATTCATGCAGAATATTTTCTCTGCCCTCAAAATTCTCTGTGCTCTGCCTATTCATCCATTCCTCCCTGCTCTCCTCTGGCAATCAATGATCTTTTCATCATCTCCATAGTTTTGCCTTCTTCCAAAAGTCATATCGTTGAAGTCATACAGTATGTAGCTTTTTGAAATGGGCTTCTTTCATTTAGTAATATGTATTTACGGTTCCTCTATTTTTTTCACGTCTCAATAGGTCATTTCCTTTTCCATTCTATTATCTGGATGTACCACAGTTTATTCACCTACTGAAGTATATTTTACTGCTTCCAAGTTTTGGAAATTATGAATAAAGCTGCTATTGCTTAGTTATTTTTCATAATGCAAAAACACATTATAAATGATTACAATATGCAGAAGTATATATAAAGCAGTAAGTACTGATGTCGTGATCTCTCCTTTCCTCCTCATCTGTATTCCACTCACCACAGATGATCTGTTAAGAGTTTAGTGTATATCCTTCCAATTACCTTCAATGACAAGTTTATTGAATATGTGAACCAGCTTAAGGCCAAAGATGTTACTGAATTTATCCAAAACATGTATTGAGGCATGTAGTAGGCTGAACAATGGTCTTCAAAGATATCAGCTCCTAAACCCTGGAACTTGTCAATGTTTTATCTGTGTTTGCAGTTGTGATTAAGTTAAAAATCTTGAGATGGGGAGACTATATTTTGGATTATCTGGGTGCCCTCTGAATGCTATTACAAGGATCCTTGTAAGGGAGAGACAGAGAGATTACCCAGACTGAAGAAGAGATAGCAATGTGACCACAGAGATAGAGATTGGAGTGATGCATCCACACGTAAGGAATGCTGGCAGCCACCAGAAACTGAAGAGGCAAGATATGGATTCTCACCGACAGCCTCTGGAATGAGTGTGCCATAAGCCATCTTTGGTTTCACCGCAGTGAAATTAATTTTGGATTCCTGGTGTCAGAACTGTGAGTGAAGACATATCTGTTGTTTTAAGTCACTAAGTTTGTGGTAATTTGTTATAGCAATGACTAATACAAGTCCTTACTGTGTTTCTGCACTGGGCCATCTGGTTCAGGTAAAAAGACAAATAGAAAACTGGCCTTGACTTTGAAAACTTTGGAGTAGAGTTTATATGACAGGTTGGTTATGGCTTGCAGGTCTATACACCAGGGTATGGTGCTTTTGCATTTCCCAGAGATGAATAAGGAGCCAGCAGAGATTGTAAAGCAGGGAAGTGGAATCATCACCTTTGTTTCTGAGGGAGATGAAGCAGCTGGAAGCAGAGACATTAATAAGATTATCACTCATGAAACCTGAGGAGAGTTTACACTGTGACCGTGGCAGTAGCACCAAGAAGAATCTTGAGTTTAGGAGACTTTTCTGAAGTAGACGTAAAAATATTTGGCAATTACATCATTTTCGAGTCATGTTACCACGCTGGGCCAAACATCTTGTCCCTAATAACGATTTCTGTAGTGATATTTGGGTTTTTTCCTAACTAAATCACAGCAGTTCTGCATAAAAATATTTTGAGTATTGGCTGGGCGTGATGGCTCATGCCTGTAATCCCAGCACGTTGGGAGGCTGAGGCGGGTGGGTCACGAGGTCAGGAGTTGGAGACCAGCCTGACCAACATGGTGAAATCCCATTTCTACGAAAAATACAAAAAAAATTTAGCTGGGCGTGGTGGCGCATGTCTGTAATCCCAGCTGCTCAGGAGGCTGAGGCAGGAGAATCTTTTGAACCCGGGAGGCGGAGGTTGCTGTGAGCCAAGAACATGCCACTGCACTCCAGCCTGAGCAAAAGAGCGAGATTCCATCTCAAAATAATAATAATAAAAATAAATAAATAAAATAAAAAATGAGTATTATTTTGAAATTTTAAAAATCAGGGATAATATTCTTTTAAAGATATAATTTTTAAACAATCTTTTTCCAAATTCTTGATAGTGTTTATTCTTAATCTATAAAAAAAGAAGTAACACAGAAATTTATATCACACACAACTTTCATCAAGGAAAGATTACTAATATGGTGATTTTATTTTAGCTGAACTCAAATATCACTCGAATGATGAATCAAATTAATGTGAAAAGTCATAACTATCTTAGTATTAAACCTCAGAGAAAAGAATGTAAGATTAAATTAATAGCATTTTAAGTATATATTGATGGAATCATTTTTCCAATAAATAGACTAGTCAGATTAAGAAGCAGTGAGTTTTTAGTGCATCATTATGAAGAATAAGTGCAAATTTTGTTCAAATGAAATGAATAAACATGCAGTCACAACCAGGCTGCTCTGTATTCCTAGTAATAATTACTATATAAAAGGTTAATAAATGTCAAGTAAAAGCAGCTATGACCTGCCTAAAGGTTAAGCTGAAAACAGCTAAAATGGAAAAAAAGAGAGTGCAGATTATTACGTTTATTGACTGACACTGGTTCTTAGAGAACAGACAATTCTGGAATGATTAATTGATAATTAAATTTCAAACAAGTACCTTTAACCTCTAAACATGAAGATAATTCAAGGTCCCTACCAGACTCATACTGCCTATTAATGTACTTCCCTTCACCCTGTTTTCTGAGAATTAGCAAAGTCTGTGGCTAGTTTTTTTTCTGAGTATCTTCACAACATGTTGAATTAATGAAGAAGATATCCCCAACTAGATCCTCAAGGCACAGGGTTGGGGCAGGCAGGGCACCAAATGTCACTCTCCTTTCTAAAATCTAGCAGAGATTTCCAGAGTGGAAATGATGCCAAACATTTGGCTTGGGATATAAGGTACTTTATGATATGAATCTGCCTTCATTTTTAACTTTCTTTTTCACAACTCCTTCCAAATCCCATACTGCAGCTAGTAAACTACTTACTGTTCCCCCACTAATGCCACAATTTTGCCTGTACCCAGAACACTATGTCCCTTCTTCAAAGGCTGGGCCAATTCCTGTTTATGCCTCAGGATTCATTCAGGCTGCCTCTTCTGGAAAGTGTTCTTTGATCCTTCCAGGTAACATTTCTTTCTCATAGCACTGAGCACAGTGCACCCTCATTTTAGGTTTACTCATGCCTCTCCCTTGCTCAACTGTAAGGCCTGTTAGGACAGATGCTGACTCATATGCTCTATATATCAAGAATATTTATAGCAGAGTGTTTTGCCCCTGCCAGGTGCTTGATGAATGTTTGTTGAATAAATAGATTCCTTAAGGAGTAAAGAGAAGATATTCAGTAACAAAGGAAAGAGGAGTAGCCTTTTTGTTAATTTTGGCTGAAATCTACATTTATAGCATAAGTTTGTAAGAATATTTTTCAGTGAAAGGACACCTACTCATTTACCTATTGTCAATTGATGGCCTTTTTTTCCTTAGTGCAGTAATTGGAAAATAATCACGTAGAGCTACGGTTTGCTTTGTACCTTCCTATGAAGTCAAACCTGTTTAGATTTTTTTTACCTGCTACTTCTTTCTAGCATGGCTATTAAAAAACACAATCTTTTTTCATGACATTGAACAGCCTGCAGGTATTATTTACTTATTTATCCTTAGCACAGAATAATAACAATAAAAATGCAATAACAAATGCATTAGTAGAAGTTCATGTTAGGTATATTAAAATATATACAGTTTTGGTGGTGCCTTGTTGGGAAATGCCCTTGCTTTATAATAACCCTCATTATCTACCAGAAAATAAGTACAATGGGGGAGGGGGTGTGAAGTCCAAGAGAAATCAAATTACACTTAATTTCTCTTAATAGCAAACAAGAACATTCGGCTTTTTAAAAATAGCACACAACTTTCCCATATATTTAGAACTCAAGCAGATCTTAAGGATTGAGGCTGTGCACACGCACAGCAGAGCTTACAGAAGTCCCAGGTCACTCACCTCTCCCCAGCTGACAGAACCTGCACACAGGTGTAGAGGAGATATCAGAGAACTTGGTGAGGAGTTAAAAGCAGGGAAAGAGTGAAAAATTATGTAAAGTTTAATGTGCTTCACATTCATACACAGATCCATCAGCAGAAAATGGAAGGCTTATTGGCTTGAGGTGTTGGAGTGAAAGCTCTGATTTTTTTTTCTTTGCTGAATGATAAGCTATACAAATACAGGAATGACCTACAGGAAGGCAAGCTTAAAAATAAAACAACAACTGAACAAAGATATTGGTAGCTGCACATTCTGGAGGAGACAGACGTCATAAATTTAGGCAAGTTTACTAAACAAATGGAAGAAAACAACAACCGTGAGGTGGAAAATAGAATCCAGAGTTGCTACAATATATCATATAAAAAGGCCAGTACTCAACAAAAAAAGTATGAGACCTGCAAAGAAACAACCTGTGATACATATTTAGACTATAGAAGTCGTCAGTAGAAATTATCTCTGAGTGTCCTCAGATATTAGATATAGCATACAAACAGTCAAAAGCAGCTGTTATAAGTATGTCCAAATAACTAAAGAAAATTGTGATGGCAACCACTTAGTGAATATAAAACCCCAGTGAAGAGTTAGAAATTATTTTAAAAATAGAGAATCAAATGGAAATTCTGTAGTTGAAATGTACAAAGACAAATAAAAAATGCACCAGAGGGCTTCAACAGAAACTGAGATGTTAGAAGAAATAGTCAATAAATGTGAAGATAGACAGAGATTATCTAAACTGAAGAATAGAATGAAAAAGGATTGAAGTGAAATAAACATACTGTTCGAGATGTATAGGATAATATGAACTATACAGACACATGTGTAATGCACCGAGGAGAGCAAATAAAGGCCCCTAGAACTTTTTGAAGAAAAAGTGGCTAAAAACTTTTCAAATCGTATGAAGAATATAACTTTACAAATCCAAGAAGTTTAATGAACCCCAGTTAGAATAAACACAAAATTATCTACAACTAGACATACAATAGTCACTGTTGAAAGCTAAATCCAAAGAAAAAAACTTGAAAGCAGCAAGAGAAAGCCAACTCTTCAAATATAGGGAACAAATATTACTAATAGCTAACTTCTCATTAGAGATAATGGAAGCCAGTCAGCACTGGAATAAGATACAAGTTGAATATCCCTTATCCGACATGTTTGGGATCTGAACTATTTCAAATTTTGGATTTTTTGAACTTTGGAATATTTTCATTAGACTTACTGTTCAGCATCCCTAATCCAAAAACCAGAATCCAAAATAAGTTTCAGATTTTGAAGCATTTCAGATTTTGGATTTTTATTTATTTATTTATTATTTAATTGAGACAGAGTCTCACTCTGTTGCCCAGGTTGGAGTGCAGTGGCACAATCTTGGCTCACTGCAACTTCTGCCCCCCTGGTTCAAGTGACCCTTCTGCCCCACCCTTCTAAGCAGCTAGGATTACAGGTACCCACCACCACACTTGGCTAATTTTTATATTGTTTAGTAGAGATGGGGTTTCACCAGGTTGGCCAGGCTGGTCTTGAACTCCTGTCCTCAAATGATCTTCCTGTCTTGGCCTCCCAAAGTGCTGGGATTACAAGCATGAGGCACCGTGCCTAGCCCTTGGATTTTTAGATTAGGGATAGTCAACTTGTATTCACATTGCTGAAAAAACCAAACCAAAAAAAATTCTGATTGTCAATCAGAATTTTATGCCCAGCAAAAACTATTTTTCAAAATGAAAGTGAAATAAAGACATTATAGATAAATAAAGACTGAGAATTTCTTGTTAGTAGAAATATTAAAGGAATTCTTTCAGGCTGGCAACTTAAGTCCTCAGGAAGAAACAAGTGTACTGGAAATGGTAAATGTGCAGCAAACAAAGGGATCTATATTTTTTCTCATTTCATCTTTAAACTTCTTTAAGAGAAAATAAAATTGTATAAAGCAGTAATTATAACATTGTATTTTTTGGGTTACAACATATAAATGTATATTATGTATGATAATAATAATGAAAAGTTTGGGAGGAAAAAAGCTATAAAAGAGAAAAGTTTATAATTTTTATTGGAATTACATTAGTATTCTGAAATAGATTGTGGTAAATTAAGATGCACATTGTAATCCCTAAAAAACACTAAGAAAATAATACAAAATAATATAAAAAATCCAAAAGGGAATTCAAATAGTATGCTAAAAATATTGACTGTAGAATAAGGCATAAAAATGGCAATAGAGCAAGAGTTTACTGAAAGAGGGGCATGGGCGGTAACAGTATATGAATAAAGATGTAGGTTGCTTATGGAGGTTTGTTGGAAGTTCTCTTCTGATTATGTATACCAGGGTAATTGGCTAAGCATGAAGTAGGGGAGAAGGTGCTAGGTGTTAGAGAAGAAAGGAGAAGTACTAAATGTCACCTAGGAGAAGGAAAGAGTGAATAGCTTTGGGAAATTTAAGATTTTGGAGGTGCACTAAGGATCCATCAGAAGTTGGTAATTATGAATTTAATGCGCAACCAGTTGTCACAGTCATATATTTTTTGCCAGACTAGGTCAGCTTTACAGGTGTAGGTGCAGTGGAGGAGAAAGAAACACAGATTTGAGGTTATATGGAAGAATGAACATATTGATCAAATATGGAATCTAAGCTGGGAGTGGAATCTGAGCTCATGAGGAAGAAAAAATATCCTTCACGCTAATACATGTGAGGGGTAGGAAGGTCATCAAGCTGGAGATTCAGGGAGTTGAGAAACAATGTGAGCAAAAGCATAGAGTAGAAATAAACACAATATGTAAAGGAAAGGAATGAGTTAGACCTGACTGATGTGATAGGTATGGAAAGGGAAATTTGTAAGAATAAAATTGGTTAGGGAATATAGACTGAAATGGCACTTAGGTACTTAACTTCATTGTTTCTCTAGTTTATCTATCTAATAATCTTTGGTGGCAATGAGGCCTAACCTGAACCTATGTCAAATGGAATACTCTTCCCTTGCTACCCCTGCCTTGTGAAAGCACTTCTCCTTCCCTTTACCCTAGTCCCCCTACCCCGCTACACTTATAACTTTCTCATAACTTACCAATTTATGGTTTCTTTTCTACCCCTAGGATGTAAGCTCCATGAAAGCAGGGATGTTTTGTCTGTTTTATTCAGTCTATAGAACAGGACCCTGGATGTAGTCTTCCCCAATAGATATTGATGGAACGCAGACAGGAGGTATCCTCTTGTGCAGAAATAGCTATCAGGTGAGGCAGATTAGAAAATGGACATGGTCAATGACTCCAATTTAGTCTCACTGTGTGAGAAGGACACACAAAAGACTGTAGGTAGAATCTAAGATGTTCTGAAAAGGTGAAATTATACAAACATCTTTATTTATAACCCTCGATTTTGTCCTTTTCTACATATAGCCCTCCTCCTGCCAAAAGCTTACTTTAAGGCAAAGATAACTAGCGTTGCTCCAGTCTTATCCACTGTTTATTTTTCTATAGCTTTTCTCATGTAGTGTCTTAAATATATGAAGAGTTCCATTTGTAATCATGGCAGCCAGAAGTGGGCCTGCGAGGCTCAGCTCTCTTTTCTGCTTGGCTGGGGCCCTGTGTCTCAACTGTCCTTGCTTCATGCTCTTGGAGTAGTAAAGGATGTGCAGCTTGTGTTTCCTCTGAATGACTCCTTGACCCGAGTTGTTTCCAGTAACTCAGTCTGATACATTTATTTCTCATATTCATCTTAATACATTCTTACTTTGACTTACCCAACCTTTTTTTTTCTATCTTCACACTATAGTGACCCTTGTTATGACTTAGCAACTGATGATATAGCAATGTATCCATGCCCGATAGCTCCCAAGATTAGCAGTTTAAGCATAGGTTAGGGTTCAATATACCTGGAAGCATGCACACTCAACCTGGGAAAGCAGTGTCAGGCCTTCGGCTCCTCATCCTGGATAATAGGGGAAGTCTTTCAAAATTGATTCAATGCTGTAGAAAATGGTGACCTTCCAAATCACCTCTGGGAAGATGAGCAAGTATTAACTGGGAACTTAGGCCAGATAATGGGACTCTCCTCTCTGCAGTTCTTGGGGAAGGAACTGAGAGGTGTCTGTCATGAAGCCATGGAAAGACGAGCCTCAGGGCCCTTCACTTGCATAAGTTTTGCCTGGAGAAGCAACAGGCATTTTGTATTTGCTATTCTGAATTATTTTTCTTAGAAGCCTCTCCAAATTGCAAAGCTTCAGGGACTGACAAGATCTAGATCTGGAAGAAATTTTTGTATGAGTCAAACCAGACAAATTAGAAAGGCCTCTTTTGCATCTGTGGTAAAATACACATACCATAAAATTCACTGTTTAAACCATTCTAAAGTGTATAGTTCAGTGGCATTTAGTACATTCACATTGTTGTGCAACTGTCACCACTATCTAGTTCTAGAATATTTTTATCACCCCAAAGGAAACACCATGCCCATTAAGCAGTCACTCGTCATTTCCTGCTGGCTCCTGTCCTCTGCGATCACTAATCTGCTTTCTGTTTCTATGGGTTTACCTAGTATGGATGTTTCATATAAATGGAATTCAACATGTGGCCTTTTGTGTCTGTGTCTGGCTTTTCTCACTTAGCATGTTTTCAAGGCTTCAAGGCTTATCCATGTCGTAGCATGTATCAGTACTTTGTTCCCTTTTATGTGGAAAGGCCTTTAAATAAAAGATCATTTTAGAGAGGATGTAGCCAGTTAAATAAGGGGATTTCTTTTTTTTTCTTTTTTTTTTTTTTTTTTGAGACGGAGTCTCGCTCTGTCACCCAGGCTGGAGTGCGGTGGCACAATCTCGGCTCGCTGCAAGCTCTGCCTCCCAGGTTCACGCCATTCTCCTGCCTCAGCCTCCTGAGTAGCTGGGATTACAGGCGCCCGCCACCACGCCCGGCTAATTTTTTGTATTTTTTAGTAGAGATGGGGTTTCACCATGTTAGCCAGGATGGTCTCCATCTCCTGACCTCGTGATCCACCCGCCTCTGCCTCCCAAAGTGCTGGGATTACAGGCGTAAGCCACCGCGCCTGGCCAAATAAGGGGATTTCAGGAGTAAAATTTAATAGAATGACTCAAATACTATCAGCGGCACATTTTATGGTACTGTATTGTGTTAAATTCTCTAACCCAGTGGACTAGAATTTGCCTGTCGATTTTGATCTTTACACTGATTCCAACCAAACGATCATGGCTAACCTGTAAGCTTTTCTTGACATATACCTATTCTGCTCAGAAATAATTTTGTGTCAGTTGTCTCTCCTACTCCTATCCCCGTTATGGCCTTTCTTGTCTGGGTCAGCATCCAGACTAAGCTGGATAATTGAAATTCCAGAAAAAAACATTTCTCCTGATTTTAGTGAGGACATTTGAAAATAACCTACGTGTTGCTCAATCCCTGAAGCTCATTTGAATGTCTGCTCTTATATTTAAAAAGCAATGTATGCCACCTGGAAGCAAAAAATAACTGTAGTTTGCTAATGTTGTCACTATGCTGCGTCAATCTCTAATTTGTTATAAAATGTAGGAAGATATTTCGAGTAAGAGGGTGTCTACCTCAATTCTTCAAAATTATACCCAGTTTTCCTTGTTATGAAGCATAATTACTTTACAAAGCTATAAAATGCCATAAAGTTTTAGTAATTCACTTAGCATTTCATTCACTATATTTTTAGTCTACTGTACTGCAAAGGTTGAAAGACATTTTATGTTTTATCTGAGGTGCCATCCACAAATTACGGCACCTATTATGCAAATAATGCCTGCAAAAGAAGTCTGCTGCATTTATAATAGGGCAGCTTATTAGAATTTGGCTTGATTTTCTTTATACCTTGCTTCTCATCTCTTGCTATAACTGTGTCCATTGTCAGTGAGATGCTAGTATAATCTTCATGTTTATTCAAACCAAAGCCTCTAAATACATACATTTTAGATTTTGGATTCAAATGATGGCCTAGTTTAGTTTCTGTGTTAGAACTTAAGTATTCTGTATTTGCACCTTACTGAACGCTTTTGAAAAGCTTTTAGTTCTAATGTTACATTTTAGCATTATTTAAAATTTCATAACATTTTACTTATATTAGCTTTGCAAATCTCCTGTATTGCTTGGGTAACAGAGGTATGATAGTAAAATCAGCTTCTATCTGTTTAGCTCATTGAGAATGATGAGGGTAAAACTGTTCCCAAGGAGTGAAAACTGTTTCTTGCTTTTATACATATATATAAAAACACAGATATACATATACTATGTAAACATATATTCGGTATATTGATCATATTGAAATATCTTGGATGGGTCAGTTAAGAAAAAAAAAACCTAAAAAAAGGACCTGGAGGGGAGCAATAATGAAAAAACAATAGACTGAGGAACACTGGTCTAGCTCTTTAAAGTTTCATAGTGTGTTTATCCTTACTACTTCTTTTGACAGGAAAGCCAAGATTGCATAGTGTGTACACAGCAGATCCATGCCTGGACTCTGGTGTTCTATTTCCATAACTGTGCTTCTCCTGCTGTGGCATGTAGACTTAGACTAGGGCTTGATGGGCTCTTGCAAGGAAGAAATATCTTCCTTGTTACCTTTTCTTTCAGGCCTAGTTTATAAATTAAGAATATTGGGTCCTCAAACTTATCAAGTTTATTCGTTTTCCCCTTTCTTTCTAATATATGTGAGGCCTATACCTCTCCTTTGGCTTAAGTGGGGCCCATATATCTCTAGATTTACAAAGGCCATGGATAAAGACAAGTGTAGACACATGGCTGTGGGAGTGAGGGGATTGCTTCTATCCCCCATGATCCAAATCACTTTGGATCTTCAGGATCAAGGATTCCTAAAGCTTTGAGGTACTCAATTTTTGTCTCCTTTTCCTCTTTCTAACCCTCAAGATCTCCTAAGCCAGTTTCTGATTTTAGTAATAACATGGTCTCTAAGAACCCATAGATATAGCCCTTTTCTGTGTTCCTCTTTACGACAGTCCAAATATTTTAAACTATCTCCTCTTAGCATAACTTGAATATATAAGTACCAAGGCATTCATTTTTTTATCTGTATAAATTTAAGGGACAAAAGTGCAGTTTTGTTTCATGAATAGTGGTGAAGTCTGGGCTTTTAGTGTATCTACCACCCAAATAATGTATGTTGTTCCCATTAAGTAATTTCTCATCTCTTACTCCCCTCTTACCTTCCACCCTTCTGCAGCTCCAGCGCCTATCATTCCACACTCTGTGTTCATGTGTATACATTATTTAGCTCCCACTTATAAGTGAGAACATGTAATATTTGCCTTTTGTTTGAGTTGTTTCACTTATGATAATGGCCTTCAGTGCCATACATGCTGCTGAAAAAGACATGATTTCATTCTTTTTTATGCCTGAATAGTATTGACTGTATATATGTACACACACACACACACACACAAACGTATATATATATATATATATACGTTTGTGTGTGTGTGTGTGTGTGTGTGTGTGTAAATATATCTGTCTCAGTCTCTATCAATCTATAACATTGGCCAGTCATCACATGATAGACAGGTTGATTCCACATCTTTGCTATTGTGGATAGTGCTGTGATAAACATACAAGTGCAGATATCAAATGTTTAACAAGCATATGAAAAAATACTCAACATTGCTAATCATCAAGAATGCAAATTAAAACCACACGAGATACCATCTTATACAGTTAGAATGGCTATTATTAAAAAGACAAAAATTTAAAAATGCTGATGAGGATGCAGAGAAAAGGAATACTTATACACTTTTGGTAAATGTAAATTAGTACAACCTCTATGGAAAACAGTATAAAGATTTCTCAAAGAACTACTCATTGCCTTGGAAAAGGCATTATTTTTGTTTGTTCTTTTTTATTTTTTTGAGATGGAGTCTCGTTCTATTGCCTAGGCTGGAGTGCAGTGGTGCGATCTTGGCTCACTGCAACCTCCACATCCCGGGTTCAAGTGATTCTCCTGCCTCAGCCTCCTGAGTAGCTGGGATTACAGGCACCCACCACCACGCTCGGCTAATTTTTGTAATTTTAGTAGAGATGGGGTTTCACAATGTTAGCCAGGCTAGTCTCGAACTCCTGACCTCAGGTTATCCGCCCTCCTACGCCTCCCACAGTGCTGGGATTACAGATGTTAGCCGCTGCACCTAGCTAGAAAAGACATTCATTTTTAATAAACCATCATTTTCTATCTAAATGGCTATTTTCTATCTAAATGGCTATAGCATCAGCCCTGACCTCACTTCTTCACTAAAGAGAGAATAGGGAGTGGAAAAAGATGTTTCTGGGACTGAAAGAAAATTTCTGCTTTATATAATTTGCTACTAAACCTAAGACTGTTTCAGGGGAATGGTGGGATCATTGAAGGCTATTTTTTTTTTAAGGGGAAGCAGAATACAAGATGTGAACACTGGATTATTGGCTGTGCTTATAATGTTAAACGTGAGGTGAGATATGGAGGAAATGAGGCTGAAAAGGCCCATAGAGCCAGGTCATGAAGGGGATGCATATGCGAAGATGAGAAATTTGGGTTTTATTCTGTAGGGCAGTGGTTCTGAAAATGCCCTCTATGTGGCCTTCTGATTTTTATGGAAATCCTTAATATATCACCACAGAGGGCAAAAAGGAATAGCAAGTGAATGAAACTCTTGGTTTCCTAACTCATTTTATCAGCACAATCCATTCCTGTCTGTGTTTTCTTCCAATTGATCAATCTATCATTTATCTATCATCTATTTCACACTCTATTACTCTCTCTATATATTTTTAATTTACTAGGCCCACATATAAGAATGTCTTTGCAAATAAAATCTACCGACATATATTTCTGACTGGATAATTTGGCTAATACATTCATCAGGAAACTGAATACGCTGGTACCCCAGTTCTAGTGGTATGCTGGAGTTGGTTTGTACCAACCTACTAGAGGCAATTGTTAAATTTCAGGAATTTTGAATGCTGGTTGACATCAAGTTGGTATCTTGAAGTTGATTGTGGTTGGGATATCAAACCAGTGAAATCAGCAAATGCTACAAATCAGATACTTTTTCCCCACATCCTCCTTGCAGAGAGCTGCTTGTTAAACCTTTACTAACACGCCGCTTCCAGTTCTCAAACTTTGGTGCATGTTAAAATTAACTGGGGAGGTGTAAGAAATTCTGGTGTCTGAGCCACCCCCAGAAATTCCTATTAAGCTGGTAGAAGGTGTCATCTGGACATCAGGACTATCAAAATCTTCCCCAGGTAATTCTAATAAGCACTGAAGTTTGAGAACCATGACACTACATACAGCTCAAGATAGATGTCAATGTTGTGTATTGATTTGGAAGTCAAGGTCATGAAGTGATATTTTTAAAAATGAGGGAGGATGACACCTCTAAAAGAAAACATGTCAAGAGAAAAGTGCAGTGAGCCAAGGATGGAACCCCAAGGAATATTGTTGCTTAAGGGGTGGACGAAGGAGGAAGAGGAGGAGCTTAAAAGAAGACTGAAAAATGGGAGAAACGGAAGAAAATAATATTACAGAAATCAATGATTTAGAGTTTCCAGCCCCATAAGATAGAATTAAGCAATAGCAGGAATATTTTGCTCCCCACAAGTACTTTCCAACTATTAAGACTTTCTCAAATAGAATAGGCCACTTAAAGAAGGAACCCAGAAGCCAAATGACTAAATGTCAGTGGTGGTGTTGAAAGCATCCCTCACTGAAGGGGAGGTTGGGGCTACTGATAAAGAACTTTCAGACTGAAGGGATGCTAAAATTTAATGACTATGTAATCAGACACAGGCGATTCTGATTTAATTTGAGATGGAATTCTGTGTACCGAAAGGTCATGGTAAAAATAAATAGAAAAAAAGTCATTCCAAGTCTTTGGAATTGTGTACTTTAACTCTTTATAAGCAAACATGTCTGCCAAATGGCCCCTAGTTGTCTTTTCCTTTGGTTCAATGCTGTAATGCCGGTTTTCATGGCTTCTGTGTTGTATTGTGGTTTTACTGCCATTGGTCTTGTGTTACTAATTGTACTTACCATACAGAAGAAATTTCACATTAATATCAGGACTAAAACTCTTTTAAATCATGTTGATATATTAGATAGTTTTGAATGGCAATTACTTTTAAATTTTGCCAGGGCATAATAAATCTATTTCAAGTGTACCTTTTTTTTCCTCTAAAACAAGAAAATGAGAGAGTTAAAATATTTATATTATTAGCATTTTAAAAGAAGTTTTCCACTATTATTTTCTGTATTTGTGTGATTTATTGGCTTGAAGTTATGGCAAAATTATTTTAGATAGCAGTTGTTAATTACTCAGCATTAATTAAATGAAGTGAAAAAAGAAATAAAACATATTTCTCAGAATGACTTCTATTCATGGCAAGTTACTTGATTCTGGTTTCCCAAAACAATATGCTTTATCAGTGAGAGAGAAACAAACATTTGGTTTGAACTTGGCTGTTCACAGATTATGATATTGCTTAGCAAAGCAGAAAATTATGAAATCTAGGTTGAAGTCATTGGTTAAAAAAAAAAAAAAGCCCCTGATGTAAATGCATTTGCACACATTTCAATTGCAGTCGCTTTTCCCACAAATCAGCTTTATCAGCTCCATTAGCAGTTGACGCCAATAAAAATCTGAGGTCAACTTCCTGCTGGTTGGTTCTTAAGTGTCAGAAATAATATATTCTGTGTTACAAATGTCCCAGAGGTATATATGTCTGCTCCTTCCAACACTGCTATAACTTATTCTCCAGCATAAACATCTGCCCTTATGCTCATTAAAAGTTGCTCTTAAAAATAGGAAATCAAGTAAAAACAAACTAATAAGTGAACAGCCTGACACAGGCTAACTGCCAAGAACAGATTGGTTCTGTATTCAGAACTCCCACTGACATCAGACTTGGCTTGGGTTTTATTCATATTATTTTCCATTCATTTATTTGTTTATTTAATATTTTACATCATAATTGATAATCCTTGAGCAATGAAACTAAAAATTATCAAAACTTTGGACAGTATGACCTGGGTCATTCCTTGTTAGATATTATGGTCTCCTTTTTTCTTTCTTCATCTAAAGATACAGTCTGGCATAGATTCAAATTTTTTAGGTTAAATACAAATATTTTTCCTTTGACAATTTTAAAAATTAATTATACTAATTGGAGATACCATGAGGTTTTATAACTCCAGATCTGGAAATCTGAGGAAAACACAAAACAAATAGTACTTGGCCAACTATGTCCTTCTTATGTATCTCAAATTTAACAAGTATTTATTGAACATCTATGTGTTGAGTATGTGCAAAGATGAGTAAAACATGTACCCTATCCTTAAGGAGCTAATGATTTAAAGGACAAGATAGATGTAAACTAGTAATCATAATAAGTGCAATCATTAAGATACTCAGAAAGCCCAAGTTTTATTTATTTTTATTTTTATTAAGTTTTGCTGATATAGTTCATGCAGATCCTTGAAGCCCTAGATTTAGATCTGTCTCTCGGGATTTGCAAAGTTGTAGAGAGGAAGGGAGAGAGGAACAGTGCATAAGCAGGAGCTTTGCATTTTCTATTTCTTACCATTTTATACCTCTATTTCAATATCTTTATAGTGAAGCATCCTTTTTGTCGTAAGTCTCTCCATGTTGCTAGGATTTTTCACTGGCTACCCTGATGGCTTTGTTTAGTACTCAAATTTCTAGGCCAGGGCTATTCAATATGCAGATAATGTGAACCACATATAAAATTTTAAATATTCTAATAGCCACATTATAAAAAATAAAAAACAGGTGAAATTAATTTTAATAATATATTCTTTTTAACCCGATAGACCCCAAACATTATTATTGCAACATATAATCAATATTTAAAAGACTGTTAATGATATATTTTACTTTTAAAAAATGTCCAGTGTGTATTTTACACTTAGAGCACAACTCAATTCAGACTAGCCAAAATTCAAATGCTTAATAGTTGCATCAGTGATATGGTTTAGATGTGTGTCCCTGCCAAAATCTCTTATGTTGAAATGTAATCCCCAATGTTGGAGGGGGGCCTGGTGGAGGTGGTTGGATTATGGGGGTGGATTTCTCATGAATGGTTTACCACCATCCCCTGGGTGCTGTTCTGGTGTTAGTGAGAGAGTTCTCATGAGATCTGGTCGTTTAGAAGTGTGCAGCACTCCCCACCCGCCCCCCCGACTTGCTCCTACTCCCCCTTTGCCTTCCACCATGTTTGGAAGCTTCCTGAGGCCTCCCCAGAAGCAGAAGCCATGATGCTTCCTGTGTAGCCCTCAGAACTGTGAGCCAATTAGACAAACCTCTTTTCTTTATAAATTACCCAGTGTCAGGAATTTACAGCAGTGCAAGAATGGACTAATACAGTGAGGTTAGCAGATACTGTGTTAGACGACACAGTTCTAGATATTTAACTCTTTAGGGTTTCTTTTTTATCTATTTATTCCTTTGTGTGTAAATGAACTTTGACAACTTGCCAGATAGCTTTTTCTCAGGCTGAACCAGGGAAAGTCATTTTTTCATATCCCCTAAAGGGAGCCAGAAAGCAACTCTATGAGAGTTATAAATGTCTCAGTTGTTTTAGCTCTCAATTCTTGCAAACACTGGAGAGTTTTCATATTTCCTTTCCCCATCCATAAGATTACTCCAGGCACTTGGATGTAGGAGAAAGAAGAAAACTGACATGTGAACTGTTCATTTTGTATAAATATATGTGCTAACAATTATTGAGATAGAATTTATATACAATAAAATTCACTCATTTAAGGCATACAGTTCAATGGTTTTTAGTGCACATATAGAGTTGTGCAAATACCATCATCCAATTTCAGAACATTTTTGTCATTTTAAACAGAAGCTCCATGCCCATTATCATGCACTATACATACTTCCCATGTCCTTAGTTTTAGGCAACTACTCATCTATTTTCTGTCTCTATAGATTTGTCTAATTTGAAAATGTCATATAAATTGTATCATTAAAAATGTTTGGCATATTTCGCTTAGTATTATTTTTAAAGGTTCATTCATGCTGTAGCATGCATCAGTACTTCATTCCTTTTATTATTACAATAGTTTTCTTCCGTATGTATATACCACATTTTGTTTATCCATTCATCAGATGATGGACCTTTGGGTTTACACCTTTTAGTTATGAACAATGCTGCTATGAATATTCAGGTACAGACATACCTTGTTTTATTGTGTCTTGTTTTATCGTGCATTGCAGATAATGTGTTTTTTTTGAAGGTTTGTGGCAACCCTACATCAAGTCTATCAATGTCATTTTTCCAACAGCGTATGCTTCTTTCTGTCTCTTTGTGACATTTTGGTAATTCTGGTAATATTTCAAACTTTTTCATTATTACGTATTTTATGGTAGTCTGTGATTAGTGATCCCTGATGTTACTATTGTAATTGTTTTCAGGTGCCACAAACCACTCCTATATAAGATGGTGAACTTAATTGAAACATGTTGTATGTATTCTGACTGCTCCACTGACTGTCTGCTCCCCACATCTCTCTCTCTAGGACTCCCTATACCCCAAGACACAACAATATTGAAATTAGGCCAATTAATAACCCTACAATGACCTCTAAGTGTTTAAGTAAAAGAAAGAGTCTCACTTAAACTGTCCAAATCACTTTAAATATAAAGCTAGAAATGATGAAGTTTAGTGAGGAAGGCATGTAGAAAGCTAAGATAGGTAGAAAGCTAGGCCTCTTGCACCAAACAGCCAAGTTGTAAATGCAAAGGAAAAATTCTTGAAGGGAATTTAAAAAATCCATTGTTCACACAAATGATAAGGCAAAACAAGGCCGGGTGCAGTGGCTCACGCCTGTAATCCCAGGACTTTGGGAGGTCAAGGTGGGCAGATCACCTGAAGTAAGGAGTTCGAGATCAGCCTGGCCAACAGGGTGAAACCCCATCTCTACTAAAATACAAAAATTAGTTGGGCATGGTTACAGGAGCCTGTAATCCCAGCTACTCAGGAGGCTGAGGCAGGAGAATCACCTGAACTCGGGAGGCAGAGATTCCAGTGAGCCAAGATTGCGCCACTGCACTCTAGCCTGGGTGACAGAGCAAGACCCTGTCTCAACCGTCTCAAAAAAAAAAAAAAAAAGCAAAACAACTCTATTGCTGATATGGAGCAAGTTTTAGTGGTCTGGATAGAAAAACAAACCAGACAACATTCCTTTAAGCCAAAAGCTAATCCAGAGCAGGGCCTTAACTCTTTTTTGATTGTATGAAGCTTGAGAGAGGTGAGAAAGCTACAGAAGAAAAGTTTGAAGCTAGCAGAGGTTGGTTCATGAGGTTTAAAGAAAGAGCCATCTCTATAACGTTAAAGTGTAAGGTGAAGCAGCAAGTGCTAGTAGAAGCTACAGCATGTTATTCAGAAAATCTAGCTAATATTATTGATGAAGGTGGCTACACTAAACAATAGATTTTTAAATGTTGATAAAATAGCCTTATATTGAAAGAAGGTGCCATCTAGGACTTTCTAAGCTAGACAGAAGTCAATGCCTGACTTCAAAACTTCAAAGGACAAGCCAACTTTCTTGTTAGGGGCTAATGCAGCTGGTGACTTTAAGTTGAAGCCAATGCTCATTTACCATCCTGAAAATCCTAGGGCCTTTAAGAATTATGCTAAAGCCATTCTGCTTGTGCTCTACAAATGGAACAATGAAGCCTGATGATAGCACCTCTGTTTACAGCATGGTTTACTGAATGTTTTAAGCTTACTGTTGAGACCTACTGCTCAGAAAAAAGATTCCTTTCAAAATACTGCTACTCATTGACAATGCACCTGGTTACCCAAAAGCTTTGTTGGAGAGGCACAAGGAGACTAGTGTTTTCATGCCTGCTGATAAACCATATATTCTGTAGCCCATGAATTAAGGAGTATTTTGACATTCAAGTCTTATTATTTAACAAATGTATTTTTGTAAGGCTATAGCTGCCATAAATAGTGATTCCTCTGATGGACTAGGCAAAGTCAGTTGAAACCTTTCTGGAAAGAATTCACCATTCTATATGCCATTAAGAATACCTATGATTCATGGGAGGTGGTCAGAATAGCAACATTAACAGGAGTATGGAAGAAGTTGATTCCAGTACTCATGGATGACTTTGAGGGGTTCAGAACTTCAGTGGAGGAAGTAATTGCAGATGTGGTGAAAAAGCAAGAGAACTAGAATTAGAATTGGAGCCTGAAGATGTGACTGAATTGCTGCAATCTCATGATAGAACTTTAATGAATGTGAAGTTGCTTCTTATGAATGAGCAAAGATGTTGGTCCCTTGAGATGGAATCTACTCCTGGTGAAGTTGATGTAAACGTTACTGAAATGACAACAAAGGATTCAGAGTATACAGAAATTTAGTTGATAAAGCAGTGGTAGGATTTGAAACAAGTTCTGCTATGGGTAAAATGCTATCAAACAGCATCACATGCTACAAAGAAATGTTTCTTAAAAGGAAGATTTAATTGATTTGGCAAACTTTACTGTTGTCTTATTTTAAGAAATTGTCACTGCCATCTCAACATTCAGCAACCACTATCCTGCTCAGTCAGCAGCCATCAACATCCAGACAAGACCCTCTACCTGCGGAAAGATGACAACACACTGAAGGCTCAGATGATTGTTGGCATATATTTTCATTTTATTCTGGTATAAATGTAGTAGTGGAAACTTCTCTCCGAAGTGGCTGCACCATTTCATCAGCAATGTATGAAAATTCAATTTTCTCATATCCTTGCCTTAACTGTTATTGTCTATAATTTTGACTACAGCTATCCTAGTGGATGTGAAATGGTATCTCATTGTGGTTTTGGTCTTTGTTTCCCTAATGCTAATGATGTTAAGCATTTATTTTCTTGTGCTTTTTGGCCATTTGTGTGTTTCTTTGGAAAAATGTCTATTCGAATTTTTTACCCATTTGAAATTTGATGATTTGTCTTTTCATTGTTGTTTTGTGAGAGTTTTTTTAAAAATATATATTCTGGATACAAGTTCTTCATCAGATATATAATTTGTACATACTTTCTCCCATTCTGTGGGTTGTCTTTTCATTTTCTTGATGGCATCCTTGAAACACAAATGTTTTAAATTTTGATGAAATGCAATTATCTTTTTCTCTCTTGTTATGTCCGATTTGCTGTTGTAGCATACGTTATATTTACACCATCTTTGTGCATGACTAAAACATAGCCATAGCCTCTGTTTGCTGGAGTCGATGGAGAAAAGCAGCAATGAAACATGCAGTGACAGTAAAGCAAGAAGTTCCAGGTGCTGTGTATTTACCCCACAGGAACAATTAATCTTGTCTCATGTTAGTGAGAGGACACGGAATGTTTCAGAAGGGACAATTTAGAAGCTGACAGGTCAGGAAGTGTTATTTAACAGTGAGGAAAGGAAAGAATTTAGTTATGTGTACTGTTCATGACGGCAATATAAAAATTTTTCAAAGATATTTGTGTTATGAAATTCCTTGGTTTCTGATACAAGCAGTGTCATGTAACTGTGTGTGCATGTGTACACGTGCACGCGCGTGCATGTGCACATGTATGTGTTTAGAGAATGCACTTCAGGATCTTGCAACCCAGCTCAGGGCCATCTTTCTGAAGGTCAGTTGTTGGTCTGGCTAAGCATAGAAATACTGGTTGATAGAAGTAGCTGATAGAATAGTGGAAAAAGTCATACAAGGACAAAGCTACATAATCTGCTCTCACTGTAGTTAAGACCTTAATATTTATACTAAAGCTAACTGCAAACAACCTCTGTATATTTGGAAAAATACACTGTGTCCAAGAGTCTTTTAAAGGCTTTGGCATTTTCCTCTGTTCATGCTAAAAGACATAGCAACAGGATAAGGAACAGTCTCACCTTCAACTTTTGTACTTGACCAACCCCAGTTCTTACCTTTCTTTATGTATTTTAAAATCCGTTTAGATAAATGCATAACTTATGAACACTGGGAAAAATTGTGGATAAAATGTTCTTAAAATTATTGTTTGTACCAAATGTCAAATGGCAGGAATTGAAATTAAAACAGACATGAAATAGGCAATAAAGGTAAAATCAATAAAGTAGATTTCACAAAAGGCTGAGTTACACAGCTTTTATGATGAGTCCAATTTTTAGGGTAGACAGAACCCTGGGGATGTATGCTCCCATTGGTGTGTAGGCATCACTCCGATTTACTTTAATGAGCCTTATCAGCGGGAAACAAGGGAAAATAGATTCTTCAGCTCTCCTTTCCTATTGCCGGCTCCAAAGCCCTTAACAAAGTACACACCATGCATTAGTTTGGGGTACTATTCAGATAAGAGTCACTCAGCAAGGAAAGTATTCAAAATCCTGCAAAGCCTTGTTTTGTATATTGTTCAGGAGATCCAGTTAGTACATAAACAGTTATTCTCTGTACTAGAGTGTCTTTATCCCAGGCTGTGCAGATTTAAGAATTACCTCAAGGCAATCTGTAATGCAGATAATATTGGCAACTAAGTGCAAATGCAGATAAAAGATTGCATAAATAATACTCCTGATGGGAATTACCGCATAACATTTATAGTAGGATCCATGCCATCCTTTGTAATCTGATGCTATATAATGCCATGAGATTACGTGATTAATTTAGATAAGCAGCATTACTGAAATATTTTATATTTAGTTACTACATTAAAGAAAAATAGTATCCTAAAATCTAGGTGGTTTATTAACATGAACGCATTGATTATAATTTTGAATACTAGGTTGCATGCCTACTTAATATGGTAATTCTTCTTGCTTCTTTGACCATTAGTTCAATTCCATAGATGAAAATTGCATTTCCACCCTGTAACATAGACATTGTGTTACATGCTAAGATGCAAAATGAGCAATATCCTGGAGATATTTCATTGGCAATAGGTGCTCATCCTAAGGAGCTCATCCACAGATCTGCCTGTGAGTCCAGAAAGCAACTCAGCCTGGTCATGCAGTATCAGTAAAGAGTCCAAGAAGATGACACAGAGCCAAATCTTCAAGCTGAGGGAGAATTAGCCAGGTGGCAGCAAGGGTATTCAAAGCCAGCAGCACTCACCTCACTTATTATAAGTGCTGTATATCATTTCCGTCGAAACAAGTACATTTCCATTTAAAAGGTAATTATAACTAACTAAAGAGGTAGAGAAATGCTACACTAAGCAAGTGCTAAACAAGTGTAGCATTTTTCTGCCTCCTTAATTAGTTACAAGCACCTTTGTAAGAAAGAAGCAAAGTACACATTCCTTATTTTATTAAGTCATGTAAAAGCTTTCAGGAGTGGCTGCTCCAGTCCAATACATTTGCAAGAATTTGTAGAGAATCCTTTGCAAGCCTGGCATTAGGCTTACATTCAGGGTAATTGGGTACCCAGGGCTATAATACACTTAACTTTCAGCAGCGACTTTCTTCAAAGCTGTGCTCTGAGGCCATTTTTCTAGTCTAAGAAAACTAGGAGAAGGAAAGTAAGTAAATTTTGGGGAGAAAGGAGCAGGGCATCGCTGAGGAATGCAGGGCAGCAACCATGGTCCCAAAGGAAGGTAGCAGTGAGTTTGGGGCAGGTATTGACAGGCTGGATGGGAAGACCACATGAGTAGTGGGCAACAGAAGTGGAGAGAAGTGTGTGTGTGAGGGTGGCTCAGGGGCGGGGAAGAAGGAAGGGGAAAAGGGAACAGACTTTTTTTTTTTTTTTTTTTTTTTGTGCAGCCTGAGAGGTTGTTTTAGTCCAACTTCATAAGACTGAAATATTTTGCTTCAGATTTTACTGAAAAAAAAAAATCCCAACCCACACATCCTTCTTCAAACTGGATAAAGGTATAATTTCCAGTCCCCTTTGTATCTAATTCAAATTGTAATTTTATTTCCTATCTCCCTTGATGGCAAAATGTAGACAAGAGAGTTTGGAAAGCAGGCATAAAATGATATTAAACTGTGACATAGACTTAATTTAATCTCCCAGGCCAGCTCTTCTGGGGGACTGGGGGAAGGTTTGGCAATCCCTCTCTTGACCTGGTCAGCACTCCGCATCCTGGGATGATTTCCCTAGGTGAAAGGAAAGTGGCGAAGCCACAGTTACTGCTGGTACTTGCCAACAAAACTTCCTCTGCTTGCTACACACGTCCACTCTGTTTTCTTTACACTCACCCCAGGAGCTTTTAGATCCAGCAGTATGTTTCACATAATTTTTTGTGTGCTGCAGCAGCAGTTTCATCTTTATTTAGCAAGACTGTACAGTCCGACTGCCACATTCCCATGAAACATGTGGTTAATTATCCACCTTTCCACATATTGGGATGTGTGGCTCTACGTAAATTGCGTAAATCAAGTTGTTGTTTGTTTTCTGACTCCTCTGGCAAACAATAACTTGTATCTGTTTTATTTTTGGTTACCAATGATTTGAAGAAAGTCTATCTACCTATCATCTATCTAGTTTGTGTGTATCTGTGTGTAGTTTTAGTAACGCACTTACAGTTTTAGTAAAATATGGAATATTAAAGGTTTGATTAGTAGCATTCCAAAGCCTTTTTTTTTTAATAGAATGCACTTTTAAAGATAAAGGATATGCAGTTTATTGTCCTTTTCCACCTGCTCCACAGGTCTGTTATTTTCCTCCTGTCCTTTTCTCTGTCCAGGGAGCTGACCCTTCTCCATTCCTCCCCTAAGATCTCCTACTGGTGGATTCTGATAAAGTTTAGTTAGTGAGAGGCACCAGCAAGAGACCAGAGGGTAGGAGGAAAGAGAAGTCAGTGTATTTTCCTCCCTGCCCTGGGCCATGTTTTCTGGAAGGTTCTGTCTCCTTTAGACAACAACTCCTGTTCTCACAGCTTCACAGCTTCAGTTTTCACTGGGCTCCCACAAACAGTATTTCCTTCCCGTTGGCTCTAGGAGTGGCAAAAACTTCTCCTTCCTGATGATCTCCAAGTGTCTAGTTTACTTCTTGTTTCCCTTAACACTCCAACAGGTGTGAAAATAAAATTCAGGGAAGTCTGTTGAACCACATGAGTTGGATTCAGCTTCCTGACAGGACCCTGACTGCTGTAAGGGGAGTACTTTCCAAAAAAACAAACTTTTGAGTTTTCAGAAAACAATCATCTTCCAGGCACTCAAACATTGGGAATGTCTAATTTCACACTTGGTCCACCTAGGACAGGCCGTGTGGCTGTGTGTGATGAGCACTGGAAAGGGAGTGGAGAAACTCTTTGTGACCTCAGATAAGGCCCTCACACCATCCTATGGACTGTCTTCTTCTTCTTCTTTCTTCCTTTTTTTTTTTTGGAGACAGAGTCTCACTCTGTTGCCCAGGCTGGAGTGCAGTGGCGCGATCTCGGCTCACTGCAAGTTCCGCCTCCCGGGTTCACGCCATTCTCCTGCCTCAGCGTCCTGAGTAGCTGGGACTACAGGCACTGGCCACCACACCTGGCTAATTTTGTTTTTGTATTTTTAGTAGAGACAGGGTTTCACCGTGTTAACCAGGATGGTCTCACTCTCTTGACCTCGTGATCTGCCCGCCTCGGCATCCCAAAGTGCTGGGATTACAGGCGTGAGCCACCGCGCCGGCCATGGGCTGTCTTCTTATCTGCAGTTGAGAACTGGTTACCCGCTGCACTGTGTGACTGTGGAGGGCACAAGATGCACCATGTGCCAAAGCACTTCGAAAAATATGAAGAGTTAAGCCATGAAACCCTGTGTGGTGTTTCTGTGGCTCTGTCCATGTTGTGCTGTTGATCCTCATTCTTTCTACTCCCCGTTCTACTAGCTGCTCTTTATGATTTTGCATTTCTGCATGTCATTAATTAAAGTTTAGATTTCCGTTTTAGTTTAAATTAATTACAGATATCCTGGTAGTATGGTTTTGTGATTGGGTGACTGGGTTTGGACATATGCGGTGGCAATTCTTGCTGGTTCACACTCCCGCTGACGCATCTGTGACTCGATCTTTGGGACTTTGGGCCCCGGCATGTGCTGTGTAGCTTCTGGTGGGCTTTGTTTCCTTATGGATAAAATCATAATAGTAACACCTACCAAGTATTCCTCACAGGGATGATGTAAAGAGATAATGAAAAAGTGTTAGAGCATTTTTGAAATCAATAGGAACAATATCATTATTAGGAACCCCAGTGGGTTTCAGTTTCCTCTTCTACAAAATTGGAAATATAGAATGGAAAGTGTTGAGAGGTCCATTCAAACATCAACATTCTTAAGATTTGTGTCTCACAGTTTTGAGAAGATTTTACCAAAGACAAAAAATGGCATTATTAACACACATCTTCTATGAGCAATGCATGGAAAAGGTAGGTATTCGTAAGGAGATAAAGTTAAAAGGAGGTCATATAAGTGGGGGCCTAACCTAATAAGACTGTGGCCTTATAAGAAAAGAAAGGGAGAGAGATTTACACACACAGCCTTCGAGGAAAGGCTGTGTGGAGCAAGAAGGTGGCCCTCTGTAAAACAAGAAGAGAGTCCCCAGAACCCAGCCATTCTGGCAACCTGACCTTGAACTTCCAGCCTCCAAAACTGTGAGAAAACAAATATTCATTGTTTAAATCACTCCATCTATGGTATTTTTGTTATGGTAACTCAAGCTGGCTAATACATTTAGATTTGTTATTATAGATTATTAACAACTTTGAAAATTTTTCAGGTCTTGCCTGGTACAGTGGCTCACGCCTGTAATCCCAGAACTTTGGGAGGCCGAAGCAGGCAGATCTCTTGAAGTCAGGAGTTCAAGACAAGCCTGGCCAACATGGTAAAACCCTGTCTCTACTAAAAATACAAAAATTAGCTGGGCATGGTGGCAGGTGCCTGTAATCCCAACTACTTGGGAGGCTGAGGCAGGAGAATCATGTGAACCTGGGAGGCGGAGGTTGCAGTGAGCCAAGATCATGCCACTGCACTCCAGCCTGGGTGACAGAATGAGACTCTGCCTCAAAAAAAAATTCAGGTCTAGGGAGAGAAGATAATTAGGCATGTCTCAAAAGAAAAAGGACTACGCTATAATGAGTTTAAATAAAAATAAAAATGTAACTTCTCATACCTCACTATTAATTTTCCTTTCATAAGATGCGTCATTGTTTGTCCTCAATGTAGAAAAATTGGTTCTTGTGGGAGCTAGCCTAATTTTGAGAGAGTGATTTTATAAAGCTATCTAAAGGTAATTTTCTATTAATCTAACATGATTCATTTTAGAACACTAACTCTGATATCTAATCCAAAAAGCAGGGTATATGTTAAAAGGCACCCAGGATTGGGAGCCAGCTGACCTCATTTCTAGTCTTGCCTTGACAAATACTGACGTTGTGACTTTGAAGAAGTCATTTTATCCCTCAGGCCTCAATGTCCTCATCTGAAAAATAAAAGATTAGTACTCGAATGGTGTCTGGGGTCCCTTTGAGTTGTCACACTTTATAAATGTGTACATCAATGCATTGTAAGTTTGCTAAAGTAATGTTTCAGTCTGAAAGATGCCATAGGCTGTTATAGGATGCTGTAAAAATAATGCTTATAGGTCTTCTAAGAATAGGAAAATATATTAATTGTACTTTTATTTTTTTAGTGTGTTAATTTCATTCCCCTAGAATAGAAAATAAAATACTATACTTTTAAAATTACAAGACAAAAGGGACAAAATCCACGTGTTCTTTTTTCAAGAACATTTTATGCAAATATGCCATTTAAAAAATGTTGCTATACTACCCACCATACACTAGGTGGAAGCAAAGAGTAAGTTAACGTGTAAAAGTTTAGACAGTATTACGGTAAACGAACCACAATTTTCTGGATAGTAAAGGTCATTAAAATTATAGGTTATATTTCTTTTTTAAAGATGCTAATTAGAAAAGAAAATAGCAAATAACACTGCCTACTTAAGCCTTTGATACTAAGATGTACTACTGTTTAAGCCAAATCTTTAAAAAATTTTTATAAGAAAAAAATTATATTTAATACTTTCAACATTTATTTTAGATTCAGAGGGTACATGTGCAGATTTGTTACCTGGGTATATTGCGTGATGCTGAGGTTGGGAGTACGACTGGTCCTTTCACCCAGGTACTGAGCATAGTACACAATAGTTTTTCAACCTTTGTCCTCCTCCTTCTCTCCCCCGTCTATGGTCCCCAGTGTCTATTGATGCCATCTTTATGTCTATGAGTACCCATTGTTTAGCTTCCACTCATAAGTGAGAACATGCGGTATTTGGCTTTCTGTTCCTGCATTAATTTGCTTAGAATAATGTAAGCCTAACCTTTACTCTCCTTATAGACTCTGGCTGGTACCATAAAAAATTAAATACTAAATCCTTTATCTTAATTTCTAGAATCTGATTGGTCAATAAACATAATGAAATAACCAGTCAAATGGTTCTATTCATAGATCTCTTTTTTTTTTCAAAAGCTTACAGAGAAAATGCATAATAAATTCAAAAAGGAATTCTCTAAAGCTTATGCTATTTTGAATTCAGTGATGGGAAGGAAATTTACCTCACTGCATATGATTTTACATGTCACTTCTTTAAAAAGTTGTATAGCTACTTCTTCCTCTCAGAATTAATTGGGTCTTATGCTACAGTTTCTAAAATGTGAAATGATGGGGTGATTGCCATGTTACAAGCCTAAACATGACTTATGTTTTCAGGCTTATAGTGAATCAAAACTCAGTTTAATACCAGTTTCTATGCAAAGTGAATTGCTCAGAGCTACCCTTGAAATGCTTCGTGTGGAAAAAGAAGAGCCTCTTTACTGGAGAAAAGCATTCTGAAGTTGTCTGTGTAGTGGCATGCAAGTGATACACTCTGTGCAAGGATAACTTCTGCATAGTGTTTTAGAGAAATACATTGTTTAGAGCACAAAATAGCATCGTTTGTGAAACACCTGGTAGTCAATGCAAGGTGTGCTAACAATTACTTAATGGTGAGGCTGCAACTGATATTGAGAGAACTATTTTTGGGGGGTTATCATCAGTATAAGCAGCCCTTAACAATCTTTGTAACCTAGGGGCAATCAATCATTTAGTTTCTATAGGGGCTCAGATTCCTGATGTGTAAAATATGAAGCCAAGGCCAGATCATCTTTAAGTTTCAGTGGTTACTTTCTAAGATTCTATAACAGTTTTTCCACTATGGCCAAGACAGAATGAATAAACTAGATTTTCAAAATTAGAATTTATCTTCTCAGCTTGGCTTTTTTTCCTCTTTGGTGCATAACAGAAAAGTAAAAATGGGAAATAAATAATATATGTGAAGAGGTTTGGGATCATCACTATGTTTGTTGGTGAATTCTGCCACTGATTGCGTGGGGAACTAAGAAGTGAGATTTTCTTCACCACTACCCGCAACATTGACACAGGACCTAAGCACATAAAACAAGCTCGTTCATATGTATAGTTTGGGTTTTGACAACAGCATTAGATGCTCACAGCATAATAATTTATATGCTGGACATCTTTGGGCAACTTAATCTTCTGAGCCTCATTTCTGTAAAATGAAACTACCAATGACTTAAGAAAGCAGCCCTGAGAATTAAGCTAAAGACAGAAATCCTCATTAAAATGCCCTAGTAAGGGGAGAAGTTGTGGGCAATGCTGTCAAATATCCATGAAAAATGTACATTTCCAGACAAAATGGCAGCTCCTCTAATTTACTGGTATTCTTCAGCTCTAAATTTCATCAGTCCTGTTCATCAGAAAGAATAACAAGAGAAACAGAAGGAAGTACTACAGAAAATGAGTATATTTTACCTATCCTAGGTAGTAGAAAATTTTGAGCATTCTTACATGAAAATTCAACAATTTGAACTCATTTTACTGGCCTGTATAAAATAGAAGTTGTGGAACATTTTATTTGGTATTTAATTACTTTCACGTATTTCTGGTTTCTTTGGCATTGTGCTTTTTCTGTTGTTGTTGATTTTACTTTAAGTTCCAGGATACATGTGCAGAACATGTAGGTTTGTTACATAGGTATACATGTGCCATGGTGGTTTGCTGTACCTATCAACCTGTCATCTAGGTTTTTTGTTTGTTTGTTTTTTGAGACAGAGTCTCGCTCTATAGCCCAGGCTGGAGTGCAGTGGCACGATCTTGGCTCACTGCAACCTCTGCCTCCCAGGTTCAAGCCATTCTCCTGCCTCAGCCTCCCGAGTAGTTGGGATTATAGGCACGTGGCACCACGCCTGGCTAATTTTTTTGTAGTTTTAGTAGAGACGGGGTTTCACCGTGTTAGCCAGGATGGTCTAGATCTCCTGACCTCGTGATCCGCCCACCTCGGCCTCCCAAAGTGCTGAGGTTACAGACATGAGCCACCACGCCTGGCCCTGTCATCTAGGTTTTAAGCACCGCATGCATTAGCTATTTCTCCTAATGCTCTCCCACCCCTGGGCCCACCCCCCGATGTTCCCTTCCTTGTGTCCATGTGTTCTCGTCGTTCAACTCCCACTTATGAGTGAGAACATGGCATTGTGCTTTATCCACAGGGATCATCCTATCAGCATGGGCTTGTCAATAGTTAGATAATCTTTCAAAGTTCCCATTAACTGTCACTTTTTAAGATGTTTAGTTCAATTCTGTGGAAAGTGGGAATTAATCTAGTCAAGCATATTCTTAACTTTCAATCACTCCAGAAAAACATTACAGAATGATAGAATCCCTACCACATGCTATGATAAGCTATACAAAGGGAACAATTGGCTTTTTCTTCTTAGCTATAATGGTCTAGCAGGAAGGGCCCTTAGCATTGTTATTTTCTGTGTAGTTGTTTCTCCTGTAGCATACTGTATGTAAAAGTTAAACATTAATACCACTTGGGACTTTTACAGTGCATTTAATGGGCTCAGCATGTCTTAGAGCCAGTCTCTGAGAGCTGCAGTATCTTAACAGCACTCCTAATGGCAGGTTACTCTTTTTCTATTATATTAAAGACCGAAGGTGAAGGGAGAAAGAGGGTAAGTGGCTTATAAATGATTATCAGTACAGGAACTAGACTGAATACTTGGGCCACATTTTGACAGTTAGTCCAGACATTCAATCACAGATTTTGGATCATTGTGGATGTCTATGATAGTAATAACTTCACAGTAATAGTCATGGATAATGTAGAGAGTTTAATGGTACTTCTGCTTATAATGCTTCCAGAAGTTCTCAGTACTTAAAACATAAGGAAAGTTACTTATTGCTGTCATTACTATTACGTACAAATTAACAATAATGACCTGCACTTGGGTAAAGGCTGTACTTTGGACTTTAGAATTCAACTATTATATTAATACTCAACTCAGTACTAAGCAGATATAAGATTTCAATAAATATTTGTGGATTTTTTCAAAGAGCTTCTAAAGTAAATATTAGCTCACTTGATTTCACAACAGCTTTGGGAGAAAGATTGGGTGGGTGTCGTTATGCTCATTTTCTGTGAATTGGATGAAGACTAATAAAATGGACATGGTCTTGGAGTCATAGGAAAACTTGGGTTCTTAGTCTGTTCTGCTCTTAATAGCTGTGTGATGTTGGGAAATTACTTGACCTCTCTGAGCCTCAGTTTGTTTCCGCAGAAAAGTAGGGATATTACCATCAAACAGTTATTTTTAGGAATAAACGAGATTATCTATGCATGTCTCTAGCTCAATGTTACTAATCAGGATCCTGCACTTAATAAAAGACAAAAATGAGATAAGAGGTCATGTTGGCTGACTTTGGGCCAGTTGCCCTTTGCATTAAGTCAGATTTAAGGCAGTAATTTGCTAGTCATTGTATCATGAGCCATGGCCCAAACACTTGACAGACTTTGAAGATTTGTTATTACTTTGCCTTATGGAAGCCTAAAAAGTCATGATCATAAAACAATTAACATTTCTGCTGATCTGGAAAAAATGTCACTCGAATTGAGATGGATGTTCCTTTTTAAATTTTTTCTGTTGTGGGCTGAGTGTGGTTAAGGTGAGTTTTTTGAGATGGCACTTTTTAGATATCATTTCAGTTTAATATTCTATATTCCTCCTGTGGCCAGAAATACTCAGTAACTCCTTAACTTTAACTCTGACATATTATCAGTGTGTCAAGATGGAAACCAGTTGCTGCTGAATCTCTGGCTCAAGAGATCGTTAAGCAGATGCTAGAAACAGAAGCCAGGCTTCTGAGACAGACGCTGGGCAGCGGATACTTTAAGCTACTGAATGAACATAGGATGGCTGTGTTAGGTAGCTTGGAGGTAGTGGTGAAGGAATAGCTTTTTATAGTCATGACTGTTGAGGTCACCTCCATCCCTGAAATTACATGAAAATTTATGAGCTTCCTAGGCTTTTGTTCTTTTGATGCTCAGACAGGCTTCTCTACTCTAGATTGAAGTCTCATGCATTTTCCACTAACTTAGAAGAACAGTATGGCATAATGGAAAAAGCATTGGTTTCCGATGAGCTGTGTAATGTTAGGTAGATCACTTAGCCTCTCTGTGTCCTTTTCTCAATGGTATAATGGTATAATAGAAGTTGAGAAGATCAATCGTGCTGACGTATTTTGATGCTTTGAACATTTAAAGTGCTAGACAACACTGGCTTGTAAAATAACTGATTACTAGCAGAAAGAGAAGGTTTATGCTGACTTATTTTTCAAATGCTCTATGACTCTTCTACAGTGTTTGGTAGACTGGCTCTAGGCTCAGCTTTGTGCCTATCTTAAAAAAAAGTACATAATGCTATACTGATTCATTCTTCTCATTGCCTAGGATTACATTAGAAAATAAGCTCCATGAAGGCAAATATTTTTGTATGTTTTATTCACAGATGTGTCTAAAGTGCTTATGACATTATCAGACATACAATAGGTGATCAGTGAATATTTGTCAAATGACAAAATAATTTGAAGTAAGGAGGCACAGGCATCTACTGTTGCTCACCTTTTGACTGTGTGTGTGTGTGTGTGTGTGTGTGTGCGTGTGCGCATGCGTAGGTGCTGAGGTGGGCATGATAATAAGTATATATCGTTACATATATTCTATCTCACTTTAAATGGTAAAGTTTTCATCTCTTGATTTCCAGTATTGGGTCAGGTAGCATCTGCTTAAAGGACAATTTCTTCCTGACATTTTAATTCAAGTTTCAATTCAAATCCCACTAGTTCTGGTTGCGCCTGGATCAACGCATTAGTACACTCAGCTTAATGATACCCTACCAAGCTTCCTGAAAGTCTTACAGAGATACACAATTACCAAAACCCACCTAGGGGGCCTGCACATTGAAGGAATCACTAATGGGATTTGAGAGGGAGTGCTGACAACACAATCAGTCTTTAAACGAAGAGTTTCTGTTGGAGCTAAAATCCAGTCAGAGAAGCAGGAGGTGATTTTATGATTTATACAAATCCACAAGAGCATCAGTAATAATTTGAGGCTAACTGAAACATGCAATGTCCAGTTTCTATTGAGTCCTGGAAAGACATTGCCTGGATTTATCTAGGCAAGTAGACGGGGTCAAATGGGATCCATGAGCATGTCATCAATAATGTTTACTTATCTGTTATTTAAGGAATTTTAATGAAAACCAAATTAGATGAAGTGAACTGTTTCTAATCTGATTTCCATGCATCAAGCTAAGCTCCCCTCTACTAAACAAAAGCCCAGGAAATCTAACAAAAACCAAATAAGTAGTGATCAGTAAACTGTAAGAAAACTGTAGTCTGCAGGGTCTGTGTCAACTGCTATTTTCTTTGGCGCTCTTGATTCTCACTTGCCTCAAGACACAGACAGCTGTTATATCCACAGGAGAAGAAGCAACTGATGGAGTGTTCTCTCTCCTTAGGTTAGAAGGAATAACATCTCAAGACTGGATTTGTCATTGAAAGGTTTGAGTATCCCTTTAATTTCGTAGAATCATTTTCTTCTCCACATTACTAAACCCAGCATTTTGTACAAGTAAATTTGGAATTATTTTAGCATGGCTTGAAATCTTAAAACTACAGACTGCACTTGTATGATGCTCTGTCAGCTGCTTCGAAAGGAAGGCTCTGTCAACTGCTATTACTATTAAATTTTCTCTCTGTTTAATAATTTAGCAAAGTAACACGTTCACAGGGTAAAAATCTGAGTAGAATAGAAAGACTCATAATGAAACATAGCAGTCCTCACTCATCCTTTTTCTACACTGAGTTTTCTGGAGACAGTAGGTTTTTCTGCCATTCTGTTCTTTCCTCTCACTGTATGATTTTACTTTTTCTTGATCAATCAAATTCTGTTAATTTTATGCTAAGGAAGAGTTTAGTTCATTTAAACTACTCTCTCCTAATATTTATGCCTGGTATTTGACTTACCCTATTAGTTATCATTGTACTATTAATACAATAAACTGAAACCTATGTGTCGTCACGTCTTATTTACTCAATATCTCTTGACTTCCTACCGTGTGAGATTAAAATATTAACACCTTGCCTTATTTGCTGTCCTCTGTCCTTATTGCCAGCTTCTGTTTTCCGCCAGTTCCACCTTTACTTCAAAAGAGTGGCTTTTACAATTCTCACCATAAAGAAATAATAAGTATGTGAAGTGATGGATGTATTACTTAGCCTGATGTATTCAGTCCACAGTGTATATATGTATTAAAACATTACGTTGTACCTCCAAAATATATACAATTATTATTTGTCAATTAAAAATGTAAGAAACCCACCCCCCCCACCCAAAAACCAAACAAAAAGTGTCAAGGTTGATCACGTTTACATTCAGTTTTGTAACCTTGATTCAGTTTTATGTGTTTTACTGATAGGTAACATCCAAAAATTGAAAACCAATAAGTGTTTATAGCATCATTATTATTTAAATGCATCCTGCATAGATTAGTAGTGTGCTATGATTACTGTTCTTCCCTGGCTTCACAATCTCTCTTCAAACTAGCATACTGAAGGGGTCTTCATATCCTAAAACAACAAATAGATTGATTTTCAAATCATTGTTTTTTTAACTGATTACCAAATTAATGCTTATTTTAGATATAAAAATGTAAAGAAGAAACTTATAAAGAAGAATTTTTAAAAATCCCACAACACAAAGGTATGTCAAAACTTCATCATGGGTTATTTCCAAATTTGATTTTCTTCTCCATTGAAATGGCAGGTTGAAGACTCAGATTGACCCCTCCAATACTGCAGGAAAGTGGTGAGTGTTCTCGGTCACCACAGGCATAAATTAATGAGGCCGTGTTTCCAAACCTTGCAACCCACCCCTTTATCCTAGTCTATAATTTATTGGAAAGATAAAGAACATTTGATTGAACCCATAAACACCCTTGATGATCATATTAGCATTTCCTTGAGTCTTTCTATAATTTCTTCCCCTTTCTGGTTGTTTGAGAGAAAGAGTGCAGCCCTTCCTTTGCCTTGCCAGGAATTACAAAGGTTATCTTCTTAACAGATTATATTTGAAGAGTGAAAGGGCACACTTTTAGTCATTCACTTGGGACAACAGGCATAAACTGGGTTGTATGATCACCTGAGATTAGCTTTTTCTTTTAAAGAGGAAACACTTCCAATAGAAAACAGTTGCTCTTCAGCCTCACTCTTTTTTAAAGAAGAGTCTGTTATCCCAGGTGGCTTAATGAGCCACCCCATACATCTGCTTTCCACCTTCCTGAATTTACTTCCTTGAGAGTCAAGAGCAGACTCTTAGGATGTCAGCACAACAGCTCTTTCTGTTACTCACTCACTCACTCACTTCTCTGCATCATCCATCGTTGCTACCTATAGCTTCTTCCTCAAGGTCCTTCCCTTTGTTTCTAACATTGTGCTCTTCTGACTCTTCTATTTTGAATAACCTCTTCCATCTTTTGTTCTTTTTGTAATTGCTCTACTACTCATTCTGCTCCCTTCTGACTCTAGGCAATGTAGTTTTGCTATAAAATGCTTTCTTGCTCTGCCTTCCTCTTGTTTTGGCTTCCTTTCAGGAAGTACATGGTTCAACCCTGAGCTCTATGTAGTTAACCCCAAATCTATGTGTCAACCCTGACTATTGTTAACATGTTTTTCTTTTTTTAGTTGGCACACATAATAACTGTATATATTTATGGGATACAGAGTGATATTTTGATACACAAATACAATGTATAAGGATCACATCAGGGTAATTAGCATACTCATCACCTCAAACATTGATCACTCCTTTGTGTTGTGAATATTTAACAATTTCTTTTCTGTTTTTTTAAAGCATATAATAAATTATCATTAACCACATTTACCCTACAGTGTTATAGAATGCTAGAACTTATTCTTTCTATCTAACTGTAATTTTGTATTGTTACCCAGTCTCTCTTCATCCTCCTCTCCTCCTTACATTTCCCAGCCTCTAATAACCACAATTCTATTCTCTACTTCTATGAGCTCATATTTTTGTAGTTTCCACATATGAATGAGAACATGCGGTTTCTATATGTAGTTTCCACATATGAATGTGAACATGCGGTTCACATATGAATGAGAATATGCGGTTCTATGTCTTGCTTATTTCACTCAACAAAATGTCCTCCAGGCCCATCCATATTGCCACAAATGACAGGATTTCATTCTTTTTTATGGCCGAATATTGTTCTATTGTGTACATGTCCCACATTTTCCTTATCTATTCATTTATTGATGAACTTTTAGCTTGATTTTTTATCTTTGCTATTGTGAATAATGCTGCAATAAATACCAAGGTGCAGGTATCTCTTTAATATACTGATTTCCTTTTCTGCTTCTACTGAACATTAGCAGCTATTTTTGGATATCCCCATTTGGAGGTTCATCTGACTCCTGAGAAAAAAGTGGCCTAAACTAAATGAATTCTCTTTTCTTTTCTTCCTGGAATTATTCTAGCATTCGTGTTACCTGGTTCAACACTCAATAACTATTCTTTACACCTTCCTCTGGCACTCCTCCTTCAGGGAATTTTTTAGTCCTGTTCTATTTCCTAATATTTGATGTTCTTTCTTCTTCTCTCTATGCCCACTGCTGCTTTGCTTTCCTAGTTCTGATTCTAGTAAAAATTCTCCTATGAAAAGCTAATAAAGGTATAGGAAAAAAACTAAACAAGTGTTTTTCCATCCCTCACACTCCACCCAACAGAACACTTCTGATACCAGATATGTAGGGGGTTTTCCCCACACACCAACCAAGCAATTCTCCAGTAGACACCAGTTGACATCCTCTACTAATTCAATTCAATTCTGACACTATTTACCTGGAGATAGTATCAGATCCCACAGGCTGAGCACTCAGATCCATAAGACTTCTCCCCACTTCAGATGCCAGTCACAAGCACAGGCTGTGACCTGCTTCTGACCAATTGGCTATAAATCAGGAGTTCCCATGATACCTTCCTTGGGTTTGATCAGTCTGCTAGAGTGGCTTACAGAACTTGGAAACACTTTACTTATGTTTACTCACTTATTATAAAGGACATTACAAAGGATACAGATGAACAGCCAGATGGAAGAGCTGCATAGGGCAAGGCATGTGGAAAGGGGCATGGAGCTTCCATGCCCTGTCCAGGCATGCCAATCTCCAGGCACCTACACAAGTGAGCTCAATGATCTGGAAGCCCTCTGAATCCTGTTCTTTTGGTTTTTTTTAAACATTTATTTTTATTTTAATTTAGTTTTATTTTTTTGAGACAAAGTCTCACTCTGTCTCCCAGGCTGGAGTGCAGTGGCGCGATCTTGGCTCACTGCAACCTCCACCTCAGCCCCCTGAGTAGCTGGGACTACAGGTACACACCATCACACGCGGCTAATTTTTGTACTTTTAGTAGAGATGGGGTTTCACCATGTTGGCCAGGATGGTCTCAAACTCCTGACCTCAGGTGATGTGCCCACCTCGGCCTCCCACAGTGCTGGGATTACAGGTATGAGCCACCGCACCTGGCCTCTTTTGGGTTTTTATGGTGGCTTCATTATGTAGGCATAATTGATTACATCATTGGCCATTGGTGATCAACTCTACCTTCAGCCCCTCTCCTCTTCCCAGAGGTCTGGGGTGGGGCTGAAAGTCCCAACCCTCTAATCATGAAGTTTTTCCAGTGACCAGCCTCCATCGTGAAGCTATCTAGTGGCTCCGAGCCACCAGCCATCTCATGAACATAGAAAAAACACTCATTGCTCCAGTGACAGAGCTGTGTGCCAGGAAGTGGGATCAAGACCAAATATATATTTCATGTTATCACAAGATGGAACTCTATATATGAAGGTTTGAGAGAGAGACACACACACATAATATCATCCAGGTAAAGGAGTAGACAGTCTTAATCATTTTAATTAACAATCTACCTGCTTTTAAACTAAAGAGCTTCTGCACACCAAAAGAAACTACCATCAGAGTGAACAGGCAACCTACAGAATGGGAGAAAATTTTTGCAATCTACTCATCTGACAAAGGGCTAATATCCAGAATCTACAATGAACTCAAACAAATTTACAAGAAAAAAGCAACCCCATCAACAGGTGGGTGAAGGATATGAACAGACACTTCTCAAAAGAAGACACTTATGCAGCCAAAAGACACATGAAAAAATGCTCATCATCACTGGCCATCAGAGAAATGCAAATCAAAATCACAACGAGATACCATCTCACACCAGTTAGAACGGCGATCATTAAAAAATCAGGAAACAACAGGTGCTGGAGAGGATGTGGAGAAATAGGAACACTTTACACTGTTGGTGGGACTGTAAACTAGTTCAACCATTGTGGAAGTCAGTGTGGCGATTCCTCAGGGATCTAGAACTAGAAATACCATTTGACCCAACCATCCCATTACTGGGTATATACCCAAAGGATTATAAATCATGCTGCTATAAAGACACATGCGCACGTATGTTTATTGCGGCACTATTCACAATAGCAAAGACTTGGAACCAACCCAAACGTCCAACAATGATAGTCTGGATTAAGAAAATGTGGCACATACACACCATGGAATACTATGCAGCCATAAAAAGTGATGAGTTCATGTCCTTTGTAGGGACATGGATGAAGCAGGAAACCATCATTCTCAGCAAACTATCGCAAGGACAAAAAACCAAACACTGCATGTTCTCGCTCATAGGTGGGAATTGAACAATGAGAACACATGGACACAGGAAGGGGAGCATCACACACCAGGGCCTGTTGTGGCAGAGGGGGAGGGGGGAGGGTTAGCATTAGGAGATATACCTAATGTTAAATGAGGAGTTAATGGGTGCAGCACACCAACATGGCACATGTATACATATGTAACAAACCTGCACGTTGTGCACATGTACCCTAAAACTTAAATTATAATAAAAAAATAAAAATAACAAAATAAAAATAACAACAACAAAAAAAACTACCTGCTTTTTTTCTGAGCTCTTCCAGAAACACAGCCCCGCACCTCCTCCTTGCTAAAATATGTACATTTCCCCATTATCTACTTAATAAAATCCAAACTCCTAGACTTGTGTTTACATCTATATTTAAACCTTATATTGTACTACATGTCTTCATGGAAATTTTTCCAGAGTGTAACACACATGATTTTTGAGTAGTTTTTCTGGCTTTCCCCTCCCAACTTCTCAGCTGGGATAGAAGCTGCCTAAAGCAGGAGCTTGTCTGCCTTGTTCACTGCTGAATTTCCTGAGCTGAGAATATAGCCTGATACATAGCATGCTCTCAGGATTCATTAGACGAATGAATAAATGAATGACGAGTTATTGTCCTTACTTTCTGCTTTCTGGCCACATGCCCTCTTAGACAGCACTTATCTGTTATGAGCTGAATTGTTTTTTCCCCAAAATTCATATGCTGAAGTCCTAACACCCAGTATCTCACAGTTTGACTATATTTGGAGATAGGGCCTTACAGAGGTGATTAAGTTAAAAAGAAGTGGTTTGTTAGGATGGGCTTTCATCTAATTTGACTGGTTTCCTGTAAAAAAATTTGAAAAGGAGGAAGAGGAAATTTGGGCACACAGAAAGATATAAGATGAATGTATACACATAGAGGAAAGGCCACGTGAGGAAAGACCACAGTGAGAAGGTCTGCATGCCAACAGACAGGCTTCAGAAGGAGCCAACTCTGCAAACCCTTGGTATTGGACTTCTAACCTACAAAACTGTGAGAAAAGAAATTTCTGTTGTTTAAGTCATCCAGTCTGTGGTATTTTTGTTATACATTTACTTTTGCAACAGTACTCTGTTAAACCTTTTACATACAATCCTAATAAGAATCCTATGATGTAGATATTTTTATGATCCCCATTTTACAGATAAAGAAATGGAAGAATTGAGATGTTAATTAACTTTTTTATGGTCAAACAGCCAGGGTTTGGAATGTAGGCAACTTGATTCACCCTGTTCCCTCTACCTGGTACACCTTCCCCTTCACTTCTGAATGGTAAATTCTAACCATCTCCAAAGCCAGAGAACATGTCTTTTTTCACTAAATTTCCCCACTTTGGCTTCAAACTTATATTGTGATATTTGTTTTACTTTATGTTTAGTTCCAAATTTGTTGTAGATGCCTGCTCAGGAATCTGCTTAGCTCTCCAGGATGGGGGTCTCACATTATTCACCATAGCCCTTTGACATTAAACCTAGACCCCTTCTGGGATGAGAGTCTATTATGGGCTGAATTGGAACCTGGATCCTGATTGCTGGCGGATAGGTATCCTGGCTATACAAATGCCAATTTACATGTATTTAAAAATTCACTTGTCTCAGAATTCCATATTCTATTCTCTATTACATGTATAGGAATCTCTGCTAGCCTGATATTGATTACATCCCTGGATCATCATTGTTCATATTTCCCTATAGCCTTTACATATAGTGTTCTACTCTTTATATGCACTTTCCCCAGAATCAGAAGTTTAGTCTCCCCTAAAGCCCCCAGCTTACTGTGCATAGTCTGTTTCCATGGCTCTGCTTATCCTACACATGACTGCTGTTTAGCAGGCAATGTCCAGGCATGACCTGTGATAGTCAATCCTTAGATTTCTGTTAATGATTCACCCATTTATTCACACATGCATTCACTTATTTGTTCTTCTGTTTATCCATCTAACTGGGAGCTTTTTATATGCCAGGTATAACACAGATCAAGGTCAGTTTCTTGATTTGATACTAAAAACATCAACAAGCTTTTAATGCTACTAACAATCTACAAAAATATTCCTAAATTAACCTACACTAAAATGTAATTTGAAAACATATCACTGATGAGATTCAGGTATCTTTCTGCGTGTCACCAGGAAGCAATCTAAAATAAAATCAGTAACAAATAAGTTGCAAACTAGGAAATTATAACATGTCATGAGGATATGTTAAATGAAGGCTAGCCGTGGTGTGATAAGGGACAACTGAAGTTTCCGAGGTTCTGGAATACTGAAAAAGGAATACTGTGGAAAAAGAGAGATTAGTGCTGCTCTGGTACTGCCTAGGAGAGAGAAACTCAATCCAGAACTAGGGTGTTAGTGAGGGTGACAACTGCATAGAATAATAAGTCCAGTTTAGCAAACATTTTTGAGAAACCCCTAAATACTAGACAATTGTAGGATGCAAATGGGAATCGGATATAGTCCTTGTCCTCAAGTAGTGGGGAAAACAGACACATAAAATCTTAGCTTTACTAGAGGTAGGAGTGAGGCAAGTGTGGCTGTCAGCAATATCAAGCAACACCTCAGATGTGCTATTATCTGAAGTGATATCAGACACTGTCAAGATCCAAATTTTCTAGGCTTCTCTCTTTTCTTTTTTTTTTTTTTTTTTTTTTTTTTTTTTTTTTTTTTTTTTTTTTTTTTTTTGAGACGGAGTCTCACTTTGTTGCCCAGGCTGGAGTGCAGTGGCTCGATCTCGGCTCACTACAATCTCCGCCTCCCGGGTTCACGCCATTCTCCTGCCTCAGCCTCCCGAGTAGCTGGGACTACAGGCGCCCGCCACCACGACCGGTTAATTTTTTTGTATTTTTAGTAGAGACGGGGTTTCACTGTGTTAGCCAGGATGGTCTCAATCTCCTGACCTCGTGATCCGCTCGCCTCGGCCTCCCAAAGGGCTGGGATTATAGGCGTGAGCCACCGCGCCTGGCCAGGCTTCCCTCTTAATGAAAGGAACATAGTACAATTCCCAGACTTCTGTCTGATAGTAGAAAACAAGAAAGAAAAAAATGGAGATCAATACATTTTGGTGGGTAATATGAGAACTATGCTGGATATTTAATATTTTCCTCTCCCAATCCATTTCATTCTTCTCCACTCTTCTCCCTGTATATAAGTTATACAGTCTATGGTATTTTGTTACAGCAGTACAGACTAAGACACCACTTTCTGAATTTAAACAAATTTCCGCTGTGTCAAAATTGAGAAGAGCGTGCACTGACTAGCTGATAAAATCAATTCCATTTAATTGGAATGATATTTCTCACTACAAAATAATGAGGTAGTAATATGACTGATAACTTTTTCACCTGCACTTAGATTTGTAAATCAACTGGTTAACCTAGAACAACCAATAAAATTAGATTTCTGAACTCTGCACAGATGAAGATGAGACTTCGAAGTAGAAAGGAAATAGGAAACTCAAGTACCTAGCCAACCTCACCTAATGCTACAGGAATAACGCATATTTAGAGTTGCTGGTCTCGTATGGTGATACAGACCCAACCACAGTCTAATTATCAGGCTTGGAGTCGAGTCTGCTGCTGCCCATGAAATATGGTTAAAATAACTAGTCCTTATAGGATTTCAGGATTATTAGTACTGTGCTAAGAAAGGGATGTCCCTCAGGTTCTAAGGAAACAGGGCTCTGCAGAATTGTAACTAACTTCTGGATGCAACCACAGGGTTTTAACATTTAAAGATAACATTGGTCAGTCTGATCTACCATCCAGGCAGCCCAGTTAGCCATGGGAAGACCAGAAGCTATTTTCTTAAATACATTTTCTAACATAGCTTAAATATGATAGAAATATTGAAATGTGGTTTAATTCTCTTGGTTGAAAAAGAAAATGTGATCTGTAAATGATTCTATAAACTTTTGACTTAATTTCTCTTAATTTCTGCCCAGTGTGTCACGTATGATTTTGTTAGTAACATCTGCAGCACTTGCAGGTTAACACATCTATTTCATCCAAAATCATACCAAAATGAGTTGGATATATAAAAATATTTGGCAAATGTCACAAGTAGATGCAGTGAGGAAAAGCCTAATTTCTAAGTCACACGTGTACTCAAGGGTGCTGAGTTGGATGAGCACATATTTTACAAAGAGCTGGACAGTTCTGGTCCTTGTTTTATCATGGGTCAGGAGCACAAAAGTGAACTAAATAACAGAAATCAAAAGGCAAACATTGACACTGGAAGCTCACAAGACTTAGCAAGAAACACATTCTTAAAAGTCATTAAACAATTTTGAAAAGAAATTCAAGCTGTGGGGATTGAGCTCTGAGATCAGAACAATAAGCTCCATGAATTGGAACAGAGGCTTTCTGAAAGCAGTTTTGAAGAATACTTTTCCCAGACAAGCTTCTTTGTGAGGGGATTTTTTTTTTTTTTTAACAAATATGCCTATTTTTGACTCAGCTCAGAAATGAAATATTTCAAAAGCCTTTTCAAGCTCAGTATCTCTAAAATTACTCTTTCAAAGTTACACTTTAAGGGGTACTAGAGGATTGAGATTAAGAGGGATACCAAGTTTGTAAAATTTTCATAGGCATGATAAAGACGCAGGAAAGTCCCCACCCATCCCCAATAATTTCTTTAGTGTTTTAGATAAAACAAACAAAGAAATACCAGTTGGAAAGGATGGCACTGTTAACGGGGTTGGGAAAGTGTTTCAAAATTCAGTTTTGACAAAAGAAAGAGTAAGACAAAAATTGCTTTCTTTCTGGGTTTAGGAGTTTTACAAAGTGAATTTTAATGAGAAATATTTTTATAAGGTTTGTTTTCCATAATTAATGTCATTGAATATAAAAATATAGCAGACCCTTGAGCAACAAGGGTTTTAACTACATGGGTTCACTTATATATGGATTTTCTTCAATAAATATATTGAAATATGTTTTGAAGTTTGTGACAGTTTGAAAAAACTCACAAACCATATAGCCCAGAAATATTGAAAAAAAACTAAGGAAAAGATATGTCATAAATGCATAATACATATGTAGATACATCTATTTTATTATCTATTACCAGAAAATATACACAAATCTATTATAAATATTGAAATTTATCAAAAGTTATGCTCACACTTAAAGACTGTACATGGTGCTATTAATAGTTGGGAGAAATGTAAACAAATGTAAAGATGCAGTATTAAATTATAACTGCATTAAATTAACAGAACATACTGTACTACTGTAATAATTCTGTAGCCACCTCTTGTGGCTATTGAGGTGAGCTCAAGTGTTTTGGGTATCTACTTAAAATGCGATGTGACCTAACCATTGCTGCATGAGCAGTTCATCTCTCCAGTAAATTGCATATTGCAGTAAAAACTGATCTCCTGTGGTTCTTGCATATTTCTCATCTTGTTTAGTGCATCTTGAATAATGTTATGGGACCCATATGAAGTGCCACTAGTGATGCTGGAAGTGTTCCCAAGAAGCAGAGAAAAGTCATGACATTACAAGAAAAAGTCTAATTGCTTGCTATGTACCATAGATTGAAATCTGTAGTTGTGGTTGCTGCTATTTCAAGATAAATGAACACAACATAAAACCATTGTTAAAAAAAAAAAGAAAAGGAAATTTGTGAAGCTGTTGCTGCAGCTAGGCCAGCGGGTGTAAAAACTTTGTACTTTCTGCAAAATACCTTTTAATCTTATATTGAAAATTCAGCTTTTATGTGGATATAGGATTGCTATGATTTGAGAAATTTATTCATTATATGACAACTTAAAGCAAAAGGAAGGTGATGGATCTAAAGCTGGAGAATTTAATGCCAGCAAAGGATGGTTTGTTGATTTTAGAATGTAGTATGGCTTAAAAAACATCAGGATAACAGGAGGAGTAGCTTCTTCTGATGAGTTCGCAGATGCCATTAAGAAAATCATTGAGGAGAAAGGATATCTGCCTGAATACGTTTTTTTTTCCTCTTTTTTTTTTTAATCATACTTTAACTTCTAGGGTACATGTGTACAATGTGCAGGTTTGTTACATATGTATAAATGTGCCATGTTGGTGTGCTACACCCATTAACTCATCATTTACATTAGGTATTTTTCTTAATACTATCCCTCCCCCCTCCCCCTCTGCCACAACAGGCCCCGGTGTGTGATGTTCCCCACCCTGTGTCCAAGTGTTCTCATTGTTCAGTTCCCACCTATGAGTGAGAACATGCAGTGTTTGGTTTTCTGTCCTTGCGATAGTTTGCTCAGAATGATGATTTCCAGCTTCATCCATTTCCCTGCAAAGGACATGAACTCACCCTTTTTTATGGCTGTATAGTATTCCATGGTGTATATGAGCCACATTTTCTTAATCCAGACTATCACTGATGGACATTTGGGTTGGTTCCAAGTCTTTGCTATTGTGAATAGTGCCGCAATAAACATACGTGCACATGTGTCTTTATAGCAGCGTGATTTATAATCCTTTGGGTATATACCCAGTAATGGGATGGCTGGGTCAAATGGTATTTCTAGTTCTAGATCCCTGAGGAATCACCACACTGACTTCCACAATGGTTGAGCTAGTTTACAGTCCCACCAACAGTGTAAAAGTATTCCTATTTCTCCACATCCTCTCCAGCACCTGTTGTTTCCTGACTTTTTAATGATCAGCATTCTAATTGGTGTGAGATGGTATCTCATTATGGTTTTGATTTGCATTTCTCTGATGGCCAGTGATGATGAGCATTTTTTCATGTGTCTGTTGGCTGCATAAATGTCTTCTTTTGAGAAGTGTCTGTTCATATCCTTCGTCCACTTTTTGATGGGGTTGTTTGATTTTTTCTTGTAAATTTGTTTAAGTTCTTTGTAGATTCTGGATATTAGCCCCTGAATAGGTTTTTAATTCAGATAAGTGCCCTATTCTGGAAAAAAATGCCACAAAGGACACTTATTAGTAAGGAATAGAAGCAAGCACTAGGATTTCAGGCAGAAAGGGATAAGCTAATGCTACTGTTTGTGCAAATGCAGTTGTGTTTATGATCGGGACTCCCCTTACCTATACAGCTGCTAAGCTCCCTTACCTATACAGCTGCTAAGCTACTAGGCTAAAAGGGAAAAGATCAACACTAGCTGCCAGTCTTTCGGTTGTGCAACAGGAAAGCCTGGACAATGAGAACACTTGTTCTGAATTGGTTCCATTAATGCTTTGTCACTGAAGTCAGGAAGTACCATACATGTAAGGAACTGTTTTTTAAAGTTCTTTTGATTTTGAACAATGCCGTTAGCCACCCAGAGTACAATGAGTTAAACACTAAAGGTGTTGCAGTAGTCTACTTGTATTGAAGTAGTCTACATAGTTTTTAGGAAAACATGATGTCTCTAATTCAGCCTCTAGATCAGGGGGTTATAAGGATCTTTAAGGCTGATTACACACAGCACTCTATAGACAGGATTGTCAACAATGAGGAAGATAATCCCAGTAGAGAGAATAACATAAAAGTCTGGATGCATTAGACCACTAAAAAATGTCATCATTGTTATAGAGAAAGCTGTGAAGGCCATTAAACCTAAAACAACAAATTCCTGCTGGAAACAACTGTGTCCAGATAGGCATGACTTCACAAGATTTATGACAAAGCCAATCAAGGAAGTCATAAAAGAGATTATGGATATGGCAAAAAAGGCAGCAGGAGAAGGTTTCAATATAGGATCTTGGAGAAATTCAACAGCTTAGTAGACATCTCTATTAAGGTGTCTCTAATTAATAGAAAATTAATGGAAGACAACTTGGTGGAGATGTGTGCTTCCAATCAGTGGCAGACGATGAGGAAGAACAGGTAGAAGAAGCAGTGCCAGAAAACAAATCGACATTAAACAATCTGGTAGAAGGGTTCTGATTACTCAAGACTGCTTTTGAATTCTTTTAGGACATGGGCCCTTCCATGATATGGACATTGAAACTAAAGCAAACAGTGGAAGAATAATTGGTACCATATAGAAACATTTTTAGAGAAATAAAAAAAACATCAGACAGAAATTATGACATATTTCTGTAAAGTTAAACTGAATGTGTCTGTCTCTCCTGCCTCCCCTTCTGTCTCTTCTACCTCTTCCGCCTCTGCTATCCCTGAGACAGCAACACTCTTCTTCCTCTTCCTCCTCCTCAGCCTACTCAATGTGAAGACAAGGAGGATGAAGGCCTTGATTCTGATCACTTTCACTTAATGGATAGTAAATACATTTTCTTATGATTTTCTTACTAGTGTTTTCTTTTCTCTAGCTTTATTGTAAGAATACAGTATATAATGTATATAACATATCAAATATGTGTTAACTGTTTATGTTATTGGTGTGGTTTCTGGTCAACAGTAAGCTATTAGTAGTTACGCTTCTGAGAAGTCAAGAATCATGTGGATTTTTGACTGCATGGGGGTTGGCACCCCTAACTCCTGTGTTGTTCAGGTGTCAACTGTAGAACCAAAAGTCTGGATGTATTTATTATTTGAACCATACAACAAAAACAATAGAAAGACAAGACTCTCCAAATAAAAATTATTTTCAGGAGAAAGGGTATCAAACTCAGAGTTAACTTACTTAGGTGGCTACTAATGGTCTTATCCATACATTTGGTACTTGATTATTTAATCACAGAGTTGGTTGGTTTGATTTTTATAATGTGCAAAAATGCCTAGTGAGGTAGTTTACATTAAAGTTTACAGACTCAGAAAATATTTTGCCTAGCTTGATTCTGCATGAAAATATGAAGATATTCATGAAGATATATATTTATGTGTATAAACCTAAACATTACAAAAATGAATTAAAGCAAGAATTTTTCTTGATAAGAAGATATGTGCAAATTATTGGTTTTGAATAATTTAATTTCAAAGTTCAAATTTAATTAAAACTACACACTAGACCAAAAACGGTGTTTAGTTTTAAATACATAGATTTAAGGCAATTCAAACTTGTACTGTTCCTATTTTGGTAGAGTGCTTTTCCCTGCTAGTTACCAGAGAGGCATTGCCCTTGTTTCTCTGTAGCATTTCTCCAGATAGATAGTAACTTGACAAAATTACTATTCTCTCCATGGATGGACTATGCACATTGCTTTTGCTTACCTAGTTTCCTTTGTTTGTGCAGCTACCAACCCAGGCTGACCAAACAGATATACCTGTTAATAATAATATTCAATAAGAGGTTTTCCTAACATTTGATAAGTGGATGCAGGAAGAAAGGCTTTTTCTTTGTCCTGGATCACATGCTGTGAAGACCATCTAGTTGGAATGCCAACAGCCTTCTTTTCTAGCTGCTGGGACAAAAAGCCAGAGAGAAAAGCAGAATAAAGACAGAGAGATGCAGAGCGCAGGACCTGACCCTGCCTGAAGCCTTAGACTTTCTAATAAGAGACAATGACTCTTTTTTCTGTTGTAAGCTAGTTTGTGTTGGGTTTCTGTCCCTCACAGCCAAAATAATCCTGGCTAATTCAACAAATAAGCAATAGAAAAAGCTGAAAGGGAAACAATTTACAGCAAAATATAAGGCAGTGCATCTAGCTCTTAGCCACATATGGCAAAAATGAGCTTTTTATGTGTTTTCAGATATATAATAAATGAGAAAAATAAGAATTTTTGCCTTAATGTATCTCAAACATAGAGACTGTTAGTACATTTTACGAAAGTGTACGACATGCTTTAGTCTGCCAGTTAATTTTAAAAATTGCATTTCTTTAAATTTCTAAATTAAAAACATTATTTAAAAAATTGACAGATAATTGTATTTTCATGTACAACATGATGTTTCAAAGTCTATATACACTGTGAAATGACTAAATCTAGTTAACACATGCATTACCTAACACAGTTATCATTTTTGTGGTGAGAACACTTTACATCTACTCTTAGCATTTTTCAAGATTACAATAATGACTTTAGGAGAACTATACTGGCCAGGAGTGGTGGCTCATGCCTGTAATCCTAGCACTTTGGGAGGCTGAGGTGGGTGGATCACTTGAGGTCAGTTTGAGACCAGCCTGGCCAACGTGGCAAAACCCCGTCTCTACTAAAAAAATAAAAATAAAAAAAATAGCCAGGCATGGTGGCACACACCTGTAATTCCAGCTACTAGGGAGGCTGAGGAAGGAGAATCACTTGAACCCTGGAGGTGGAGGTTGCAGTGAGCCAAGATCGTGTCACCGCACTCCAGCCTGTGTGATGGGAGCAAGACTCTATCTCAAAAAAAATAAAAAATAAGAATAAAAGAAGTATATTTACACATCAAAACCTTGATCACTTTAGTAAAAAAAAATATTGTCAATGACATATATTTGGTTATACGGAAGTAAATCACTGTTTTGATAAATTATTTAATGACAATATGATTTAGCCATTATATTAGTACTTTCTCACACTGCTCTGAAGGAATACCCGAGACTGGGTAATTTAAGAAGGAAAGAGGTTTAATTGACTCACAGTTCAGCATGGCTGGGGAGGCCTCAAAAAACTTACATTCACGGTGGAAGGGGAACACATCCTTCTCCACATGGCGGCAGGAAGGAGAAGAATGAGAAACCAGAGAAGCAGGAAGGCCCTTATAAAACCATCAGATCTTGTGAGAACTATCACGAGAATAGCATGGGGGAAACTGCCCCCATGATCCAATTACCTCCCGCCGGTCCCCTCCCACAACACGTGGAGATTATGGGAACTACCATTCAAGATGAGAATTGGGTGGTGACACAGCCAAACCATATCAGCCATATATACAGGTAGGTTTAGGTAAAGATTAAAGGTTTAGGGAGGTTAATGGCAAAATATTCAGAGTAATTCATCTGACCTTAAACGATCCTCCACACCCTCACCACACATATGCAAAAGTACATGCAAATATACTTAATTATTGCACATTACAAAGCAACTATTACTGAGTTAAGTGCAAATTTATAGTCAATAAATCCAGGGAAATGAAATTGTATGATGAAATTTGTATGTAATTGAACAGGCAGAGTAAGAAATCCTTATATCTCAGTCTGTTTACATGCCAGATTGATTTGATTCTTTTGCTTGTTAGCTCTGTTTCATCAAAGTATTTACCTGATCTAATTTCTTGAATTAACACATCAAATAAGGTGAACTGGTTTATGAGTAAACACCACCTCAATAACTCACACTATCATATCAGATCACTCTCTAATGGCTTCACAAGTATTTGTCCCAACTGCCCTTTCCTTATTCCTTTTCCTGAACCTACGAATAAAACCTGAATGCTTTGACTTTGAGTTCACTGCTCTATTTAGAGTTCAGGGTTCTCTTCATGATTACTGCCACTAAACGCTATAAATGTAGAATTCCACAGTTAGAAGGGACTCTAAAATGCCTATTTCACTTACTAATTCTACAAATGAAAACTCAAGCTCAGGGCTCTGACGTACCCATCCAAGGTTTCAAGTGGCAGAGCTGGTCCTGGACACACATCCCAGAGGCCCAGCCCAATGCTTGTATTGGGAAGGCATTATGCAGATGCTGTGCACACAACTTAGGACTTTTCACTGTATTCATTTGGTTTTATGCAAGTTTTTATGTCTCAGCATAACATGATAAATCTGTGCTAAATGTTCAAATTATCTGAATGATCATATTCAATAATTATAAAGTTAATATTGAAGAAAAATAGTTCTTTATAGAGTTTTATTTCTGTTAAGTATTAAGAGCATTTTATATGTATTAACTCATACAAATGATTCTTAGATTTTTTTAGTAGAAAGTCATACTAATCATTCTTTCTGGTAATCCTATTCACTTTTCATTAAGTTCTCTTTTATATAGGAGGTCTTACGCTACATTTTACATTTTGTGTAGCTTGTTTGCTTTTAAGTTGACAGATCAAGTAAGGTGTACTGGTTTACAAAATTGGTTTACACAAGGTGTAACTGTGTTACATCTCAGTTACATAGTAAACAGAGTAAAATATATTAAATTGAATAAAGTTTTGTATGAAATCCTGAATATAGTCTGGTTTTATGAACTATTTTTTTTTTTTTTTTTTGGCTACATGAAAGAGTTAGAAGGAAGTCTCTGTTTTGCAGAATAAAATATCTTTTTAGAAACTTTGAAGCACCAGATCTTTAAGGATTCTGGATAAAAATGTCTGTGATGAAAAGATAGATGCTTGGGGTGATGAATATCCCATTTACCCTGATGTGATTATTACTGATGGTATGTATGTATCAAAATATCTCATATACCCCATAAATATATACACCTATGTACCCATAAAAATTAAAAATAAAAAAATTTAAAAGATATCTGTGGTGGAATACCAAATATGCCTCAAAGGTAGTATTTTATTAAAATCATGAAATATTCATGATTTTGGAAATTCTTATTTTGTAAAGTGAGGGTGATGGTGGTTAACAACATACTTTTTAAGAAAAGTATATTGAGTTTGAACAAAATGTTATAATAACATTTGTATATTTTGGTAGCTGAGAGTTTGCCTGTAGAGTGAATGTGCTTAAATCCCAGTTCTTAAATTTTCTAGTTTGTGTGACCTTGGCAAAAAGCATTCAGTCTTTTTGTATCTCAGTTTTTTCATCTAAAAATATGAAGATAATAAGCAGTTTTTATCTCAGAGTTGTTGGGACAATTAAACACATGCATTAAAAAGTACTAAGAAATAATAAATTAGTGATTTTTATTAAAAATAGAAAATTATTTTATATTATTACTCCTTAAAAATGATAAATAATTACTGCTATTAGCCTACATTTTGCTGGATTTTGATTGAATTATTTGAAGGAGAAGAAATACTCTTTATAGAAAAAAGATCTGTAATTTACCTACTATTAGGAATTTACATATATAATTGGTTTGTGAATCCCGCCCCAACAGTTTCTGAGATTTGCTAGATGTTATTCGAAGCACTAAGCTCTTGCCTTTTCTCATTATTATAATCAACTATTTCCTGTATGCCAGCAAAGTCAGTGGTAAAGATGTTAAATGTTTACAGCAAGCAGGAATATTGTCCTAATCGCATAATAAGCAATTAGAAAAAAAATGCCCCCTGACAGAAAGCAATCATTGGTTATGCCTTATGTTGAGCTCTTCTGTTTCATGATTGATTAAATGGTTCTTTTCTATTAAATTATTGTTGTGAAAACAGAGCTGTTTCATACTGAAGGTCATGACATAACGTTATTCATTATTTAGGCCAATATAGCAAGGTTTTTAGTAATAAGTCTTAGGAAGAAAGTTCATTTGAAAGTGCTTTCGTTGCTCACATTACATTCTGCTGAGGTTTTATTAAGATGGAGCATTAAACACAATACTAATGACTCATGAGTAAAAATATAGTGAACTAAATGATGCAAAAACACCTCAACTATTTGAAGAAAACATGTTAAACACACATGCACATCTCAAAGACAAAGAAAATGAAAAGATCTTGCTTTTATATTGTATTAGAGCTTCTAGGCTTCTCCTTTCATTATTAATCATACTTGGCTGCACAGAACACTTGCGATCTGTCCTTTCTTTGTAGAAGCTGCCATTGTGTGAAGATGGATATGCCTTTTTTCTCCCTCTTCTCCCACAAGATGAATTCTCAATCTCAATTGCTTTCTCATAGCATGTGCACTTATCTTTGCCTTTTGTGCACTGGAGGAGAACATGCTTCTCCATTTCTTTGTCTCTCAGAAATATGAGACAAGTGCCTTTTGCTCTATCATGTAGCTGCTCTTTACAATGTCAGCTGCACTGATGCCTGCCTCCAGTAGCAGGCTGGTGACAAACACCACAAGGGTGTATCTCCCCAACAAGATGCTGATCAGACAGCTTGAAAGAAAGCAATGCCCTGTTTTTCCATTTTAGGGGACAAACATTTTTCTCTCTCTCCCTGATTTCCTTTCTCCTTCCTTTCTCTCTTTCTTTCTTTCTCTCTCCTTCTCCTGAACCAATTTTTTTTTCTAAAAAATACTAATATTTGAATCAACCTTTCAGTCAAGAGTATTCTATTAACTTGGTTCCAAACCAGGGACAAAAGTGCAGAATGTTCAGGTAATGAGGTTTAGGTTCTTTACTGGCTTAAAGAGGCAATGGGCATTCTGTATCTGGGCATTTAAGTATTGTTCCATAATTATTTACATACTGTATATATAATATGTAATACATATAATATGTGCTATATATACAGTGTGCTATATATATGTTCTCATCTATATATTATCTTCTACTTTGTGTCATGTGTTTATCTTCCCTATGTCTTATTATTTCTGTATTTTCAGAATTGTTCAGTTACTACAGTGTACTACCTATAATATTTTGAGATTTTTTAATATACAAAAATGAGCATTTTAAATTATACTTTTAGTGAAGATTCCATATAGCTCAAAGACTAACAGAAAATGAAATTGACACAAAATTAAAGACTCATCAATGGACACTTCAAAATCAGACACAGGTAGACATAGTTCTGTTAGAAGAAAAGATAAGGGTAGTGAAGTGTCTATGCTTTACATATTCTGTTATTCCCCACTCCCTTTGGCATAAATTTTAAACTCATTAGTCCAGCCCCAGATGCCTTGCCCATCTCAACACTTACACTATCCTACAAGTGTCCTGTGTTCTAGCCATACTAATCTCCTTGGAATTTCTTAAATTTTCTAGGTTATCTTCCTGCCATACTTTTGTACATGCAGTTCCTCTCTTTGCCTGGGTAGCTTTCTTATATATAAATATTCAATTCAGTGGTCCCTTTCTCTGGGAAGATATTCTCAATTTCAGTTCTCAGGACTGGGTTAGGTGCCTCCTAAAGCTCATATCTTAGACATATTCTTTTCATTGCCCTTTTTATTCACTCATTTATTCATTCATTCAATAAATATATATTGTGTGCATAATAGATGCCATTTGTATAACTGTCTGCTGATATGCCTCTCATCCACTAGACTATGACCTCCTTGAGTTAAGAGACACACAGTTATTCTCATTCTTCTGGGAATTATGTTCTATAAAGTGGCATAAATAATAAACTAACAAATATGGAACTATTACTCCTAAAATAACAAGTTGGATTCCTAAGAACCTTTGGTCACAACACTGTCACCAACCAAAATGTCATTTGCCTTAGGTAGGTTCATTTGTCAATGTCCTTATAAAACAAACCAGTCTCATCAGCATTAAAAATCTGCTTTTTGGCCAGGCGCGGTGTCTCACGCCTGTAATCCCAGCACTTTGGGAGGCCAAGGCAGGTGGATCACGAGGTCAGGAGTTCCAGACCAGCCTGGCCAAGATGGTGAAACCTCATCTCTACTAAAAATACAAAAAATTAGCCGGGCGTGGTGGCAGGCACCTGTAATACCAGCTACTCGGGAGGCTGAGGCAGAGAATTGCTTGAACCCGGGAGGTGGAGGTTGCAGTGAGCCAAGATCACACCACTGCACTCCAGCATTGGCAACAGAATGAGACTCCGTCTCAAAAAACAAAAACAAAACAAAACAAAAAAAAAAAACAAAAAAAACAAAACCTGCTTGTCAGGCTTCTGGGCCCAAGCCTGCACACAGATGTCCAGATGGCTTGAAGTATCTGAAGAATCACAAAAGAAGTGAAAATGTCCGGTTCCTGCCTTAACTGATGACATTACCTTGTGAAATTCCTTCTCCTGGCTCAGAAGCTCCCCCACTGAGCATGTTGTGACCCCCGCCCCTGCCTGCCAGAGAACAACCCCCTTTGACTATAATTTTCTATTACCTACCCAAATCCTATAAAACAGCCCCACCCCTATCTCCCTTCTCTGACTCTCTTTTCAGACTCAGCCCACCTGCACCCAGGTGATTAAAAAGCTTTATTGCTCACACAAAGCCTGTTTGGTGGTCTCTTCACATGGACGCGCGTGACATTTGGTGCCCTGACTTGGATCAGGGGACCTCCCTTGGGAGATCAATCCCCTGTCCTCCTGCTCTTTGCTCCGTGAGAAAGATCCACCTACGACCTCTGGTCCTCAGACCAACCAGCCCAAGGAACATCTCACCAATTTTTAATCAGGTAAGTGATCTCTTTTTACTCTCTTCTCCAACCTCTCTATCCCTCAACCTCTTTCTCCTTTCAATCTTGGTGCCACCCTTCAATCTCTCCCTTCTTTTAATTTCAGTTCCTTTCCTTTTCTGGTAGAGACAGAGGAGATGTGTTTTATCCGTGAACCCAAAACTCCGGCGCCTGTCACATACTTGGGAAGACAGTCTTCCCTTAGTGTTTAATCACTGCGGGGATGCCTGCTTGATTATTCACCGACATTTCAGAGGTGTCTGATCACCACGGGGATGCCTGCCTTGATCCTTCACCCTTAGTGTCAAGCACCACTTTCCTAGGGGGCAAGCACCCCTCACCCCTTCTCTCCGTGTCTCTACCCTCTCTTTTGTCTGAGCTTGCCTCCTTCACTATAGGCAACCTTCCACCCACCATTCCTCCTTCTTCTCCCTTAGCCTGTGTTTTCAAGAACTTAAAAGCTCTTCAACTCACACCTGACCTAAAACCTAAATGCCTTACTTTCTTCTGCAATGCCACTTGACCCCAATATAAACTCGACAATTTTTCCAAATATCCAAAAAACGTCACTTTCGATTTCTCCATCCTACAAGATCTAGGTAATTCTTGTTGTAAAATGGACAAATGGTCTGAGGTGCCTGATGTCCAGGCATTCTTTTACACATCGAACCCTCCCTAGTCTCTGTTCCCAATGTGACTTGTCCCAAATCCTCCTCCTTTCCCTCCCACCTGTCCCCTCAGTCTGAACCCCAAGCATCACTGAGTCTTTTCAATCTTCCTTTTCTACCGACCCATCTGACTTCTCCCCTCATCCCTAGACTGATCCTCCTCAGGTCACTCCCCACCAGGCTGAATCAGGCTCCAATTCTTCCTCAGCTTCTGCTCCTCTACCCTATAATCCTTTTATCTCCTCCCCTCCTCACACCTGGTCTGGCTTACAGTTTTGTTCCACGACTAGCCCTTCCCTACCTGCCCAACAATTTCATCTTAAAGAGGTGGCTGGAGCTAAAGGTATACTCAAGGTTAATGCTTTTTTTCTTTATCCAACCTCTCCCAAATCAGTTAGCATTTAGACTCTTTTTCACCAAAAATAAAAACCCAGCCCATTTCATGGCTTGTTTGGTAGCAACCCTGAGATGCTTTACAGCCCTAGACTCTGAAAGGTCAGAAGGCCATTTTATTCTCAATATGCATTTTATTACCCAATCTGCTCCCGACATTAAATAAAGCTCCAAAAATTAGATTCCAGCCCTCAAACCCCACAAAAGTACTCAACTAACCTCACCTTCAAGGTGTACAATAACAGAGAAGAGTTGCAATTACTTTCCTCCTCTGTGAGGCAAAACCCAGCCGCACCTCCAGCACACAAGAACTTCAAAATGCCTAAGCCACAGCGGTTAAGCATTCCTACAGGACCTCCTCCATCAGGATCTTGCTTCAAGTGCCAGAAATCTGGCCACTGGGCCAAGGAATGCCCACAGCCCAGGATTCCTCCTAAGCCATGTCCTATCTGTGTGGGATCTCACTGGAAATCGGACTATCCAACTCACCCGGCAGCCACTCCCAGAGCCCCTGGAACTCTGGCCCAAGGCCTTCTCGGCTTAGCAACTGAAGACTGATGCTGCCCAATTGCCTCAGAAGCCTCCTGGACCATCACAGATGCTTTGGGTAATTCTTACAGTGGAGGGTAAGTCGGTCCCCTTCTTAATCAATATGGAGGCTACCAACTCCACATTACCTTTTTTTCAAGGGCCTGTTACACTTGCCTCCATAACTGTTGTAGGTATTGATGGCCAGGCTTCTAAACCTCTTAAAACTCCCCAACTCTGGTGCCAACTTGGACAACATTCTTTTATGCACTCCTTTTTAGTTATCCCCACCTGCCCAGCTCCCTTATTAGGTTGAGACATTTTAACTAAATTATCTGCTTCCCTGACTATTCCTAGGCTACAGCCACACCTCATTGCTGCCCTTTTCCCCAGTTCAAAGCCTCCTTCACATCCTCCCCTTGTATCTCCCCACCTTAATCCCACAAGTATGGGACACCTCTACTCCTCCTTGGGGACTGATCATGCAACCTTACCATCCCATTAAAACCTAATCACACTTATCTTGCTCAACGCCAATATCCCATCCCACAGCATGCTTTAAAAGGATTAAAGCCCATTATCACTCACCTGTTACAGCATGGCCTTTTACAGCCTATAAACTCTCCTGACAATTCTCCCATTTTACCTGTCCAAAAACTGGACAAGTCTTACAGGTTAGTTCAGGATCTGTGCCTTATCAACCAAATTGTTTGGCCTATCCACCCTGTGGTGCCCAACCCATACACTATTTTGTCCTCAATACCTTCCTCCACAACTCACTATTCTGTTCTTGACATTAAAGATGGTTTTTTCACTATTCCCCTGCACCCCTCATCCCAGCCTGTTTTTGCTTTTACCTGGACTGACCCTGACACCCATTAGTCCCAGCAGCTTACCTGGGCTGTACTGCCGCAAGGCTTCAGGGACAGTCCTCATTACTTCAGTAAAGCCCTTTCTCATGATTTACTTTCTTTCCATCCATCTGCTTCTCACCTAATTAAATATTTTGACAACCTTCTACTTTATAGCCCCTCCTACAAATCTTCCCAACAGGACACCCTCCTGCTCCTCCAACATCTGTTCTCAGAAGGATATCGTGTATCCCCCTCCAAAGCCCAAATTTCTTCCTCATCTGTTACGTATCTTGGCATAATTCTTCATAAAAACAAATGTGCTCTCCCTGCTAATCATGTCTGGCTAAACTCCAAAACCCCAACCCTTTCTACAAAACAACAACTCCTTTCCTTCCTGGACATGGTTAGGTACTTCTGCCTTTAAATACATAGTTTTACCATCCTGGCTAAACCATTATATAAACTCACAAAAGAAAACCTAGCTGACCCCATAAATCCTAAATTCTTTCCCCACTCCCCTTTCCATTCCTTAAAAAGCCCTAAAAACTGCTCCCATACTAGCTCTCCCTAACTCATCTCAACTCTTTTCATTACACACAGCTGAAATACAGGGCTGTGCAATCAGAATTCTTACACAAGAGCTGGGACCATGCCCTGTAGCCTTTCTGTCCAAACAACTTGGCCTTACTGTTTTAGCGTAGCCCTCATGTCTGTGTGTGGTGGCTGCCACTGCCCTAATACTTTTAGAGGCCCTCAAAATCACAAACTATGCTCAACTGACTCTCTACAGTTTTCATAACTTCCAAAATCTGTTTTCTTCCTCACACCTGATGCATATACTTTCTGCTCCCTGGTTCATTTAGCCATACTCACTCTTTGTTGAGTCTCCCACAATTACCATTGTTCCTGGTCCAGACTTCAATCCAGCTTTCCACATTATTCTGGATACGACAACTGACCCCTGTGACTGTATATCTCTGATCCACCTGACATTCACTCCATTTCCCCATATTTCCTTCTTTCCTTTTCCTCACCCTGATCACATTTGGTTTATCAGTGGCAGTTCCACCAGGCCTAATCACCACTCACCAGCAAAGGCAGGCTATGCTATAGTATCTTCCACATCTATCATTGAGGCTACCATTTTGCCCCCCTCCACTACCTCTCAGCAAGCTGAACTCATTGCCTTAGCTCAGGCCCTCACTCTTGCAAAGGGACGAGGCATCAATATTTATACTGACTCTTAACATGCCTTCCATATCCTGCACCACCATGCTGTTATATGGGCAGAAAGAAATTTCCTCACTATGTAAGGGTCCCCCATCATTAATGCCTCTTTAATAAAAACTCTTCTCAAGGCCGCTTTACTTCCAAAGGAAGTGGGAGTCATTCACTGCAAGGGCCATCAAAAGGCATCAGATGCCATCATTCAGGGTAACGCTTATGCTGATAAGGTAGCTAAAAAAGCAGTTAGAGTTCCAACTTCTATTCCTCACGGCAGTTGTTCTTCTCATCAGTCACTCCTGCCTACTCCCCGCTGAAACTTCCACCTATCAATCTCTTCCCACAGAAAGCAAATGGTTCTTGGACCAAGGAAAATATCTCCTTCCCACCTCACAGGCCTATTCTATTCTGTTGTCATTTCATAACCTCTTCCATGTAGGTTACAATCCGCTAGCCCAACTCTTAGAACCTCTCATTTCCTTTCCATCACGGAAATCTGTCCTCAAGGAAATAACTTCTCAGTGTTCTGTCTGCTATTCTACTACTCCTCAGGGATTGTTCAGGCCCCCTCTCTTCCCTACACATCAAGCTTGGGGATTTGCCCCTGTGAAGGACTGGCAAATTGACTTTACTCACATGTCCTGAGTCAGAAAACTAAAATATCTCTTGGTCTGGGTAGACACTTTCACTGAATGAGTAGAGGCCTTTCCCACAGGGTCTGAGAAGGCCAGCACAGTCATTTCTTCCCTTCTGTCAAACATAATTCCTTAGTTTGGCCTTCCCACCTCTATACACTCCAATAACAGACCAGCCTTCATCCCTATCTTCTGTCTAATCATACTCTTATTCACCATTCTCAACTACTTGTAAATGCCCTGCCCTTGTTTACACTGCCGGTTTACACTTTTCCTCCAAACCACCATAACTGATATCTCCTGGTTTTACCTCAAACTGCCACCCATAAGTCTCTCTTAAAGTGGATTAAAGATCTTCAGTGGCAAGGTACACTTCAATACTTTCACCCTGATGAAGTCCTATTCTTTACTTTTATATTCACTCTTATTCTCGTTCCCATTCTTATGCCACCCTCTACCTCTCCCCAGCTATCTCCACTACACTATCAATCTCACTCGCTCTCTTCTAGCTGTTTCTAATCCTTCTTTAACAAACAATTGCTGGCTTTGCATTTCTCTTTCCTCCAAAATCACTGAGGCCTTGACTTACTGCTTAAAAAAAGAGGACTCTGTATTATGATGTTTAAATGAAGAGTTTTGTTTTTGCCTAAATCAATCTGGCCTGGTATATGACAACATAAAAAAAAACTCAAGGATACAGCCCAAAAAACTCACCAACCAAACAAGTAATTACGCTGAACCCCCTTGGGTGCTCTCTAATAGGATGTCCTGGGTCCTCCCAATTCTTAGTCCTTTAATACCTGTTTTTCTCCTTCCCTTATTTGGACTTTGTGTCTTCCATTTCATTTCTCAATTCATATAAAACCATATCCAGGTCATCACCAATCATTCTATATGACAAATGTTTCTTCTAACAACCCCACAATATCACCCCTTACCACAAAATCTTCCTTCAGCTTAATCTCTCCCACTCTAGGTTCCCACACCACCCCTAATCCAGCTCGAAGCAGCCTTGAGAAACATTGCCCATTATCTCTCCATACCACCCCCCACAATTTTCACTGCCCCAACACTTCAACACTATTTTATTTTTCTTATTAATATAAGAAGACAGGAATGTCAGGCCTCTGAGCCCAAGCCTGCATGTGTACATCCAGATGGCCTGAAGCCACTGAAGAATCACAAAAGAAGTGAAAATGCCTGGTTCCTGCCTTAACTGGTGACATTACCTTGTGAAATTCCTTCTCCTAGCTCAGAAGCTCCTCCACTGAGCACCTTGTGACCACCGCCCCTGCCTGCCAGAAACAACCCCCTTTGACTATAATTTCCATTACCAACCCAAATCCTGTAAAACGGCCCACCTCTATCTCCCTTCTCTGACTCTCTTTTTGGACTCAGCCCACCTGCACCCAGGTGATTAAAAAGCTTTATCGCTCACACAAAGCCTGTTTGGTGGTCTCTTCACATGGACGTGCATGACACTGCTTTTCCACATAAACTTTTTCCCATAGAACGTTTGGTGGGTATTTAAAGCATTATTTTCTATATGTATTTTATTTTTAATTGACAATTGGATGTCTTTATAAGACACAAGTGCAATGTGATGTTTTGATATACATACATACATTATGAAATTATTTAATCAAGCTAATTACCATATTCATCTTCCATAGCCTCCTTATCTGCAAAACTTGCCTTGTCTGCAAGTTTAACACGTATTTCCCACACATACTGCCTTTTGAAATGTGCAAGTTAGCCAGCACTTGCCAAAAAAGTTTAAAATTTTCCCGCCCCTGGATAGTGTGACTAAAATTTTTTTTTGGCTTTTAGCCTTACAACAGTGGTCTCCAATACACCTTTTAAATATTGGTTATCATCTCATGAAACTACAAATTTAACCACTTTTCCACTTTTACTATAGCTTCATCACACATTACAGATGTTACTTTAGCATTTTCTGGAGTGTCCTTTTGCACAGATTGATAAATTTGCTCTTCCTTTTTCTGGATGTACTATATTGATGATCAATTAACACTGAACTCATAGCCAATAGCATTATAACTCATGCCCGGATGAAGCTTATGTAAGACAATATTTTTTTGAAAGACACATTACTGTCTTCTTGTACTTAGGAACACTAGATAACACTTCCACACTACATTTATGGGCTATTTTAAACAGTGAAATTACCAACAAAAAACAGAAAATGTAAAAAAATGTGGCTTCACTGAACAGACCTCAAAAAGGACACTTGTTTATGTGCAAGAGCTGGAACAACAAGGCAGAGTGCAACCTTGTTTGGCCTCAGCTCAGAGCTTGCTTCTCAAGTGACTTAAAATGTTGTCTCTGTGCATATCTGTGAATGACCTCAAATGATTGCCAAAATGCTACCAGTATTGATTTTGGGGTTACAAATACATTTTAGTAGGTAAATTTTTAAATAGGAATTCACAAATATTGTAGAGTAATTGTATTCTTCTATTAAATAATAAAAGCTCAATAACTGTTTGTTGACAGAATGAAGCTTGCCTGCTATGCTGAAAGCTATTTCTCGTATTCAGTGAATTAAATTCTTTATTCAAACTATAAATCTGAAAAATCATTTATGCTACAGCGCCTAAAAGTTAAAGAAAAATCCTGTTTGGATACCATGTATATTAGGTTCTAACTTACAATATTCTTAAGTACTTTCTCCACTCTAGAGTACTGCTCTCTCTGATGCCAAAATTCCTGAGCTATCAACAAAATAAATGTATGAAAGCTAGACTTGACACTCAAACATTTTATCAAAAAGTTCTGTTTTTAGTAAAGAAACAAGGTCAGTTGAAGGCCATCATATTGACAACATACATTTTCTGTAAAATCTGATTATGACAGACAAACAATTTAGTGCAACTTACTGAGAGGCATAAATTTGGGTTGATTTTTAATTAGCAAAGACTTTGAATTGACCCATATTTATCCTCTTTCTTGTTTCTCCTTAATTCAAGAACAAGAATTTTCAAGACGTTTATAGATAGATGTTTATATAATCTATGACCATGGTTAATAGTCAAGCTAATGTGCTAATGTGGGGAGTCAAATCTGTGGTCACAATCAACTAATATAATTCATTTTGAGTGAACAAATATTTATTGAGAGTGTTCCAGACCTATGTTAGGTGTTGGAAATAAATTATGAATGGAACAGCTATGGTTCCATACCAATTAAGCTATCAGTCTACCTGAACAGATATATACTCTACAAGTGACAAAAGAGAAAAAATAATATAAATACAGATTATGAAATAAACTATAGAGGAAGAAAATCTGGCAATGGAAGAGAATAATGGTCATAGTGGAGGAGGAAGGAGGCCTATGTTACACGAGGTTTGCTATGGTTTGAATGTTTGTGGCCCCCACAATGTTCATGTTGAAACTTAATCCTCTCTTCATAACATAAAAGTGCAAGGTGAAGCAGCAAGTGCTGATGTACAAGCTACAGCAAATTATTCAGAAGATCTAACTAAGATCATTGATGGAAGTGGCTACACTAAACAACAGAGTTTCAATGTAGCGAAAGCAGCCTTATATTGGAAGAAGATGCCTTCTAGGACTTTCATAGGTAGAGAAGAGAAGTCAATGCCTGTTTTCAAAACTTCAAAGGACAGGCTGACTCTCCTGTTAGAAAGTGATGCAGCTAATGACTTTAAGTTGAAGTCAGTGCTCACTTACCATTCCAAAAATTACTCTGCCTGTGCTCTACAAATGCAGCAAAAAAGCCTGGATTACAGGATCTCTACAGCATGGTTTATGGAATAAGTTAAGCCCACTATTGAGATCTACTGCTCAGAAAGAAGATTCCCTTTGAAATGTGTTCGCTGACAATGCACCTGGACACTCAAGAGTTCTGATAGATGAATACAAGGAGTCTAATGTTGTTTTCATGCTTGCTGATACATCTTCCATTCAGAAGCCTATGGGTCCAGGTGTATTTTGACTTTCAAGTCTTATTATGTAGAAACACTTTTTGTAGAAACAATCATCATAGTGAACAGGCATCGTATAGAATGGGAGAAAATTTCTGCAATCTGCTTATCTGACAAAGGTATAATATCCAGAATCTAAAAGGACCTTAAACAAATTTACAAGAATAAAACAACCCCATCAAAAAGTGGGCAAAGGATATGAACAGACAACTCTCAAAAGAAGACATCTACGCAGCCAACAAACATGAAAAAAAGTTCAACATCACTGATAATCAGAGAAATGCAAATTGAAACCATAATGAGATACCATTTCATGCCAGTCAGAATAGTGATTATTAAAAAGTCAAGAAACAATAGATGCTGGTGAGGCTGTGGAAAAATAGGAGTGCTTTTACACTGCTGGTGGGAATGTAAATTAGTTCAACCATTGGGGAAGACAGTGTGGCAATTCTTCAAGGATCCAGAACCAGAAATACCATTTGACCCAGCAATCCCATTATTGGGTACATACCCAAAGGAATACAAATTATTCTACTATAAAGACACATCTGCATGTATGTTTATTACAGCACTATTTACAGTAACAAAGACCTGGAACCAACCCAAATGTCCATCAGTGATATACTGGATAAAGGAAACGTGGTACATATACACCATGGAATACTATGCAGCCATTAAAAGGAATGTGATCATGTCCTTTGCAGGGACATGGATGAAGCTGGAAGCCATCATCCTCAGCAAAGTAACACAGGAACAGAGAACCAAACACCACATGTTCTCACTCATAACTGGGAGTTGAACAGTGAGAACACATGGACACAGAGGAACAACACACACCATGGCCTGTAGGGGAGTGGGGGGTAAGGGAAGGGAAAGCATTAGGACAAATAGCTAATGCATGTGGGGCTTAAAACCTAGATGACGAATTGATAGGTGCAGCAAACCACCATGGCACATGTATACCTATGTAACAAACCTGCATGTTCTCCACATGTATCCTGGAACCTAAAGTAAAATTAAAAAAAAAAAAAGGAATTACATTTTGTAAGGCTATAACTGCCATAGGTAGTGATTCCTTTGATGGATCTAGGAAAAGTTAATTGAAAACTGGAAAAGATTCACCATTCTAGATGCATTAAGAACATCCATGGTTCATGGGAAAAGGTCAAAATATCAACATTAAGAGGAGTTTGGAAGAAGTTGATTACAATCCATGTGGATGACTTTGAGGGTTCGGGACTTCAGTGGAACACATAATTGCAGATGTGGCTGAAAAAGCAAGAGAACTAGAATTAGAAATGGAGCCTGAAGATACGACTGAATTGCTATTATCTCATGATCAAACTTGAGTTTGAGGAGTTGCTTCTTATAAATGAGCAAAGAAATTGGTTTATTGAGATGGACTCTACCAGTGAAGATGCTATGAATATTGTTGAAATGATGACAAAGGATTTAGAGTATACATAAACCTGGTTGATAAAGCAGTGGCAGGATTTGAAACAAGTTCTGGGTTTCAATTAATGGGTTAAATGCTATTAAACAGCATTGGGTACTACAGAGAAATCTTTCATGACAAGAAGAGTCAATGTGACAAACTTTATTATTATCTTATTGCCACAGCCACTCTAACCTTCAGTGACCACTACTCTGGTTAGTCAGCAGTGATCAATATCAAGGACAGACTCTCTACCAGCAAAAGATTAGGACTTGCCGAAGGCTTAAATGGTCATTAGCATTTTTTAGTAATAAAGTATTTTTAAATTAAGGTATGTGCATTTTATTTTAGACATAATATTCTTGTGCACTTAATATACTATAGTTAAGTGTAAACATAACTTTTATTGCACTGAGAAACCAAAAATTTCATCTGCTCATTTTATTGTCATACTGGATTTATTGCAGTGGTCTGGAACCAAATCCACAATGTTTCCAAGGTATGTCTGTAAATAACCTCATCCAAATTCAACCACCTACCTACCTGTATGTGAATCTATTCTTAGTCATTGCCTTTTACTACATCTTAGATTATCTCTTAGTCTGCTCCTGCTGCTACAGCGAAATAACATAGATTGGGTAATTTATAAACAAAAGAAATTTATTGGTCAGAGTTCTAGAAGCTGCAAAGTCCAAGATCAAGGTGCCAGCAGATTGTCTGATTAGGGCTTACTTCAAAGATGGTGGAAGGTGTCAGGCCTCTGGGTCCAAGCTAAGCCATCATATCCCCTGTGACTTGCACGTATACATCTAGATGGCCTGAAGCAAGTGAAGAATCACAAAAGAAGTGAAAGTGGCCAGTTCCTGCCTTAACTGATGAAATTCCACCATCGTGATTTGTTTCTGCCCCCCTTTAACTGAGCGATTAACCTTGTGAAATTCCTTCTCCTGGCTCAGAAGCTCCCCCACTGAGCACCTTGTGACCCCCGCCCCTGCCTGCAAGAGAGAAACCCCCTTTGACTGTAATTTTCCACTACCCACCCAAATCCTATAAAACAGCCCCACCCTGTCTCCCTTGGCTGACTCTCTTTTCAGACTCAGCCCGCCTGCACCCACGTGAAATAAACAGCTTTATTGCTCTTTATTTATATTTATTTATATTTATTGCTCTATATTTATAAAAAAGCCTGTTTGGTGGTCTCTTCACATGGACACGTATGACAGAAGGGACAAACAGACCCCTCAAGTCTCTTTTATAGGGGAAGGACACTAATCCCATCCGTAATGGTGGAGCCCTTGTAACCTAGTCACCCCCTAAAGGTCCTACTTCTAAGTATTATCACATTGGGTATACATTCCAACATATAAATTTTGATGGTACACCAACATTCAGACTATAGACCAATCTTCAATGTTTCTTCAAGAATCTTCCTGTATATTCTCTTAATTTTCTTTTCCAAATTTACATTATAGACTTAGAAAAATGTAAGAAATGTTAATTTGATAATGCTGCATATCTACAACTATCTGATCTTTGACAAACCTGACAAAAACAAGAAATGGGGAAAGGATTCCCTATTTAATAAACGGTGTTGGGAAAACTGGCTAGCCATATGTAGAAATCTGAAACTGGATCCCTTCCTTACACCTTATACAAAAATTAACTCAAGATGGATTAAAGACTTAGATGTTAGACCAAAAACCATAAAAACCCTAGAAGAAAACCTAGGCAATACCACTCAGGACATAGGCATGGGCAAGGACTTCATGTCTAAAACACCAAAAGCAATGGCAACAAAAGCCAAAATTGACAAATGGGATCTAATTAAACTAAAGAGCTTCTGCACAGCAAAAGGAACTACCATCAGAGTGAACAGGCAACCTGCAGAACGGGAGAAAAATTTTGCGATCTACTCATCTGACAAAGGGCTAATATCCAGAATCTACAAAGAACTCAAACAAATTTACAAGAAAAAAACAAAGAACCCCATCAAAAAGTGGGCAAAGGATATGAACAGACACTTCTCAAAAGAAGAAATTTATGCAGCCAAAAAACACATGAAAAAATGCTCATCATCACTGGCCATCGGAGAAATGCAAATCAAAACCACAGTGAGATACCATCTCACACCAGTTGGAATGGTGATCATTAAAAAGTCAGGAAACAACAGGTGCGGAGAGGATGTGGAGAAAAAGGAACACTTGTACACTGTTGGTGGGACTGTAAACTAGTTCAACCATTGTGGAAGTCAGTGTGGTGATTCCTCAGGGATCTAGAACTAGAAATACCATTTGACCCAGCCATCGCATTACTGGGTATATACCCAAAGGATTATAAAACATGCTGCTATAAAGACACATGCGCACGTATGTTTATTGTGGCACTATTCACGATAGCAAAGACTTGGAACCAACCCAAATGCCCAACAACGATAGACTGGATTAAGAAAATGTGGCACATATACACCATGGAATACTTTGCAGCCATAAAAAAGAATGAGTTCATGTCCTTTGTAGGGACATGGATGAAGCTGGAAACCATCATTCTCAGCAAACTATTGCAAGTGCAAAAAACCAAACACCGCATGTTTTCACTCATAGGTGGGAATTGAACAATGAGAACACTTGGACACAGGAAGGGGAACATCACACACAGGGGCCTGTTGTGGGGTGGGGGGAAGGGGGAGGCGGGAGGGAGGAAGGATAGCATTAGGAGATATACCTAATGTTAAATGATGAGTTAATGGGTGCAGCACACCAACATGGCATATGTATATATATGTAACTAGCCTGCACATTGTGCACATGTACCCTAAAACTTAAAGTATAAAAAAAAAAGAAATGCTAATTTGAAAAAGCAATAAAACCCAATCATGTAACAAAGTCATATGAACTCTTTAACTTTATAAAAGAAAATTAAAAAAGGACTAAAAAAAGTGCATAAATACTGTATACAAGGAGAAAAGAAATATTCATTTAATTGCACATTGAGAAATGTGAGAAGTAGCTCTGAGATGCTTCAGACATGTGCCAAGAAAAGTTGGTGGTATGTGGCTTCAAGAAAGAATAACACGAAAATGGCATTGCTTTCTGCTCCTGGCGCAGCTTGCTCACAGGACCGAGAGGTGGCATTCCTGGGTCTGGGCGAGGGGACAGCTTATTGCAAATGTTGACTGGCACCAAGCTTGTCACAGACTATGGGTTTTCATTTTTTTTCACCCTCTCCTTAAAACTTAGACTGTAGTAACTGACAACTCATTGCCATTAGGAAGAAACTTTTATGAGAAGAAAATGACTTGAATATACCATTGGAGAATATTTTTTCAGTAGCTTTAATTTCATTTAAATCTCAAACTACAAGCAAAGTCTAATTACTGATGGTAGGAAAGTATTCATTTCTCACATTGAGCACCTATAAGATCTATGTTCTTTGACCTATGGGTCTTTAGTGTGAACTCCAGGTTCATTTTTCTTGCTAGTAGCAGGAATTTTCAAACACTTATCTTCCATCTGTAGGTGGCAGTAAGTTATTAATGTTTTTGTTACTCTGCCCAGTGGAAGGAAGATTAAATCTGGTTTAAGAGAAACAAAATATAAAGAGAATATTGTTCTACCTTTGGGCCAGTATAAAGAACAGTAACAGTTTTTTTTTCCAGTGGAAGTTTAATTCCTTCCCCCATTTTAATTTGAAGTAAAATTGAAATACTTATGTATTCTCAGTAGACTCTCCACTAGCTGGGATGAACTTATGTTCACATCAGAATAAACAAACCTAGAACAACAAGGAAGAGTATTGTATAAGTCAGCAGCTGAAGAAACCCACTGTTTCTTATGCTGTGCATCTTAGCAAGATTAGTTCAGATCTTAAAGCCTACTGTTATATTTATATTAAGCAATGGCATTTTGCTTTCAAGTATATGCATACAAAACATCAAATAATTATTCTTCCAATTCCACAATAAAAAAGATTTCTTCTGAAATCACTTGCTGATTTCCCTCCTGTGTTTAAAAGAAACAAAAAACAACCACAAACACAACAGGAAAAGGAACTGTTGATTTGCAATTTTTCTGCCTTGTCTTTTGCCTTGTGGTAGTTCATATGCAAAACATGCTTTCTTACAGATGGAATCCACTAGTCCTTGCCATTAAGGGAAACACAGCAGGACCCAGAGAGGATTTGCTGAAGCTGAAAACTGACTTTATAATTTAGCTCTGAGTCTTGAAGCAGCATAAGTCACAGTATAAATCAGAACACTGGATCCAAAAATGCAAGGCAAATAGAGCAAAACATGAATTTCTCCCCTCATACTTTCCTCTTGTTAGTACAATTAAAACAACAACCAGTTCCTTTATTGCTTATGATTTAACAGACAAGTAAAGTGACAATTTCAGGCTACAGTAGACAGAGCCATAGAAAAAGAAAAACAGCCAGTAAGATGAGGCAGTTACTGTCATATTATGCCAACAGATACTGCCAGGTTTCTAAAATAAAAACAATCTTCACCATGGTGAATACTTTGCACATTTGCTTAGTTTAGCTTCATGGACTCTTCCTATTGCAGTAAACCAGTTTATACTTATATCGTTCTTTGATTTCTCTTAAAAAATTTAACACAGGCTACAGAGATTAAGTTGGCTATTTCAAAAAATAACTTTGGGATATATGCTTAACATTTTACCTTTCCTGTGCTTACAGAATGCTTTTGGCTCAAAAGGGCCTTTCTATTTTTGTATTTATCCTTTATAGGGTAGAATTCTTACTTTGTGTAAGATCGATAATTCTTACTTTGTGTAAGATACTATCGATAAGCTTTGTTCCTCCACAAGAGCCATGAAGGCAGATATTCTGTCCTTTCTAATCTTTGTGCAGCTGGCAGAAGAAAAGGTCGTGTGATCCCACTGTGTCCCAACCTAAGATTTTCTGCCCCTGCTTTCTCACACTAATAGGTAACATTTATACACCATTGTAATTTTTATTTTTAATTGGTTTGTTTTCAATTTTAACAGAGGATTTCACCAGTGCAAAGTGCATTTCATTTTTGATGAGCAGGGAAAATATAACCCTTTGACAAGCACCCAGGTATCAAATTGTCCTTCTTTCTCTTGTAAGAGTCATCTGGTAATGTAACAGGTCTGCATGAAAATGTATAAAAACTTATTCATGAGTAAAGAGCTTTTTCTATTTCAATTCTAACTTGCGTAAATGATTTTCTGTGGAGCCAAAAAATGGTGGCTGTGTCAGCTGGGTTGATTTGCCTGATTTTCATAAAAACATAAACAGCACCATAGTTTGGCTTTTGGACCTTCCTTGGTATTTGTAAGATCTGGGGGAACGGCTCATTATAACCAGTAGTTAGAAAGTATGAGTAAGTAAGACCCAGAAAACACAGCCTGTAATAGTAAATATCACGAGTGCCAGTGAAAAGAATCATGGGCATTTTACCATCAAATTGTCGAAAGAATATGAACCGCAGAATTCAAACGGATATGGGCTAAAATCCCAGCTAAGCTACTTATGCCACCTGCTCTGTGAGCTTGAGCAAAGTGTTTAACCTCAGTTTCATTATTTTATAACATAGGGGTTGCAATGTCTATTTTTAAAATGTGCACTAATGAGATAATTAAAGAAGTTATCCTTCATGAAGCATTGCAAAGCACTTAAAAACTGGTAGATGCCCATCAATCAACGAGTGGCTAAAGAAACTGTAGTATGTATGTACACAATGGAATACTACTCAGCCATAAAAATAAATGAATGAACAACATTTGCAGCGACCTGGATGAGATTGGAGACTATTATTCTAAGTGAAGTAGCTCAGGAATAGAAAACAAAACATCATATGTTCTCATCGATAGGTAGGAACTAAGCTATGAGGATGCAAAGGCATAAGAATGATACAAAGGACTGTGAGGACTTGGGAAGAGTGGGAGGGGGTGAGGGATAAAAGACTACAAATATGGTGCAGTGTATACTGCTCAGGTGATGAGTGCACCAAAATCTCACAAATCATGGCTGAAGAGCTTACTCATGTGACCAAATACCACCTGTACCCTAATAACTTATGGAAAAAAAAACTGGTTGCTGCTCAAAGCAATAGCAACAGCATAAGAGCCGTTTCAGTAGAACATGCCATAGGAAGCAGTAAAGGGTGAAAGTATACAGCAGAGGCTAAGCTGACTGCCTGAAGTTTAATCCCTGCCCCTTTTACTATTGCTGTGATCTTGGGTGGATCGTTTAACCTCTCTGTACCTTAGCTTAGCTATTTATACAATGGAGATAACCATAGCTTGAACCACATAGCATTGTTACAAGGATTAACTGAGATAATACGTATAGAGTAATTAATACAGTGTAAGCAATCAATGATGTTAGCTATTTTTTTATTATTACCTTCCCCCTGCAAGGGGTTTATCTGGCAATAATACAGTGGTTTCCCCTTATCTGTGGGGGATACAATCCAGGACCCCCAGTGGATGCTTGAGACTGTAGACAGTACTAGGACTTTTATATATGTATATATATTTTCCTTTTGGTACATACTTATGATAAAGCTTAATTAATAAATTAGGTAAGCAGGAGATTAACAACAATAATTAGCAATAAAATAGAACAGTTGCAACAATATGCCAGCATCACTTTAGGTAAAATAAGTGTCACTTGAACACGAGTTCTTTGATAATGTGACAGTTGGTCTGATAACCAAGATGTCTACTGACTGGCGGATGGGTTGCATATACAGCATAGACATGCTACACTAAGGGATAATTCATGTCCCATGGAGCAGGACAGCAGAGACTTCATCATGTTATTCAGGAGTGTCCCCAATTTAAAACTTATTAATTGTTTATTTTTGGAATTTTTTAATTTAATATGTTTGGACTGCAGTTGACTGCCAGTAACTGAAACCCCAAAAGTGAAACTGTGGATAATTGTGGACTACTGTGTAGAAGTAGCCTGTGTGGTGTTAATGGACAATAGAATATATTTTTAAAACTGTGGTATAGCCACATATTAAGATGTTTCTGGAGGAGAGAGAAACAGTGACTTGACATTGGCAATGCTACCCAATGGTAAGAGGAATTTACTTCTCTCTGAATATTCTCATCAAAAGCATGGATGTGATCCTGACACAAGTGACGATAAGCAAGTTTGGAAAAATTTTTGGAGTTTTGATCAATTCACCATGTTTCATTTGGTTCTGAATCTCACTATTTAAATGAATTTGTGAATATTTTGGAAATGTAGAAATCCATAATTAATCCCCATAAGCAAAACAGAGGCTGCTTGTTGAAATCAGCCTTCACATTCTCTCTTTTTCAACATTCTGTGCAGATATAATAAAATGTCCTTGCATTTGTATGATGTTTTGCAATTGAAAGCATTCCCATACATGCAGTTCTATGTCAGCCTCTTACAGCCCTGGGGAGTAATCCTAGCTCGTATTGGTATCTCCTCCCTCAAAAACAAATTTTGAGAGGTGAAGTGATGTGCCTCAAATCGCATAGCTTTTAAGCAGCAGAGTAAGTTAAAAAAATCACTCAACAGTGTTTGATAAGGTTGGCTTTTGCAGCTTAGTTTTAGGTTATGTGAGATTGTACTGTCACAAGTACCACTAGAATTTCTGTCACATTATGAATTTTTTCTGCTTTCACTAATTATAATAAAGAAAGACCTTTGTAACATGCTTTTTATATTTGTCTTCTATATTTATATGTGCTCTTTGGGGCTATTTTAATTTGACATTTATCTGCTTTTTCTAGGAATATTCTGTGAAAAAGACTAAGATATCAGAGAAATTATTAGTGCACATTATTAGAAGAGAGCTTCAGATGAAAATAAAGGTTGGTAGCTTACATCATAATATTTTCAAGGGCAAATACAATTCTTTATTTTCGTAGTCTTGGTTATGGGCTTATATGTCTGCATCTGAGAGACAACAAAAGAATCACAGCTGGATTTGCAAGATGCATCTAATTGGGGGAAAATGCAGGGGTATGTGTGGAAACTTTCTTTTTTTCTTACTCCAAAAAGTGAACTCAAAAATAAAAGCACCTGTGGAATTGAGATTTGAGCAAGAAAAGCAGTGTGGGAAGATGGATAACCTTTGATGTCAAGTTGATTTCTCATACCTATGTGGTACAATTTCAGTTTGAATATTAGCTATGCGATCTGCAGTTCTCTGTTCTACAAGGCTCGAAAGGTGAAGGCAGAATATTTCAGAGGTTTCTCGAAACTCTAATAAAAGACTCTCCTGCCAGATGACCCTTGATAAACTTCACTCTTCCTCTCAGTAAAAATCTCCCCCAGACAGGCTCAAAAGGGTTGATGATGTTCACCACTATTAAGTCTCCACTCAGCCATGCTAGGCAGCTCAGAAATTTCATTGGAATTTTTCCTTACTTGGCAGTTTTAGATGTTTTAGTCAGTAATGCAAATCCAAAAGGAGAAGAACTTGGTAGGAATATGTGAAAAGTAGATCTATATTACACAAAGCGTACTTGTGGTTATATAGAAGTAATATGTAATTTTTAAATAATAGCATAATACATCAAAATTGAGCTTGTGGTGATGATGCACAATAATATATTCCACTTACAAATCTGTTTATATTGTTGTTTTTCTGAGTGTTTTCACAGTGATATATTTTTCAATATAGCATCAATATATTTTGTCACTTATATGTCATATTGTGGTATCCTCATCCCCCCCTTAAGCTTCTTGAGTATAAGGTTTGTGATTTATTATTTGCATTATTTTTATGCCTTGCAAAATGACTAGCATAGTAGGCTCTCTTTTGATGTGCTTGTAAAACTGACCTGAGTATGGATGTTTCTTTGTCTAAGGACAATTTCATAATATAAAATCAATACAGATGGTAACACCAGTAAAAATCTTAGAAACCAGATTTAAAGTATTCCTAACCCGGCTTTTATGAATTTGCATTTAAAAAAGAGCATGAGGAATTTTTGTTTATTTCCACTGTCTAAATTCTAAGCAGAGAGAATAGCCTAATGGATTTCTGTAGATTAGTTTAAAACTAACAAATAGGGAGTAAGTATTCTGTAAAATCCCTGTAATTATTATAGAATCCTTCAATAACCTCAAGCAGTACTATTAGGACTTATTTTGTTCTCTGAGTACATATCATTAGGATAAAAATAAACACATTTGAAGCTAAACAAAGATTTGAAGATCAACGATAAATTAACTTGATATATTTGCAGTGGCCAATCCATGTCTGTGGGGACTGGACACATCAATCAGTGCAACATTGAGAATCCCTGTTCTTCATCCCCCACAGGACCAGTCACATAATATATGGGGCCCAGTTCAAGATGACAATGAGGAGTCCCTAATTCAAAAAGCATTACAACAACTTTTGACTCTCTGTTGTAGTCTCTCTCTCTCTTGCAAGCTGTTACCACGTTTTTTATTTGCTGTTTAATGCCATTCATTTTCTCAGTCATGAGGACACTCATGGGGTGAGAGCAGAACTTCACAGGCAACTGAGACCCTGTCCTGAGTTGAGCACAAGTGGTGTATGTACCCAACCCTGACTCTCCCTATCTCCACACCCAGACCCCCGCTACGAGTGGAGATGGCCATGGGTTATTGGGTTGGAGAGAAAAAGCAGGTAGCTGAGAACTTTCCCTGGAGACATGGCGAGGTGGTGACAGTGGGACTAAATGTAATCTGTGACTCCAGGGCCCTGACACCTGCAGAATTGTTCTAACTTACTTCACTTACAAAAGCTAAAATTGAAGATATTATGTTAAGAATTTTCAGATGACCACTTCATAGCATTACACTCCTAGTGAAGGCCCTTGTGAGCAAGGCGTCCTGTGCTGCTGCACTGGCCCCATGTCCATGAAGCTGGCCATGGTTCCCAAGATAGAAGATCTGTGGGATGGGTCTGGCCCAGTGGCTCACGCCTGTAATCCCAGCACTTTGGGAGGCCGAGGTGGCCAGATCACTAGGTCAGGTGATCGAGACCATTCTGACTAACACAGTGAAACTCTGTCTCTACTAAAAATACAAAAAATTAGCTGGGCCTGGTGGCGGGTGCCTGTAGTCCCAGCTGCTTGGGAGGCTGAGGCAGGAGACTGGCATGAACCCGGGAGGTGGAGCTTGCTGTAAGTCGAGATCACACCGCTGCACTCCAGCCTGGGGGCCAGAGCAAGACTCCATCTCAAAAAAAAAAAAAAATCTGTGGGATGATGGAGCACACCTTGCTGACAGAGAAGTGATGTCCTTCTCCCTAGTGCTGAAGCAAGAGGGTTGACATTGTCTTTCTCCTTCTCCACTGTGACTGCTTTCTTACTTCAATGTGTACTTTGTCTTCATTTTAATCCACTTATTTTTATTTAAAAATGATGAGAGGAAGGAAACTGGAAGACAATTTTGATAAAGTATAATTTCATAATGGTAAAATCATGACTCCTGCAAATACAATATGAATGCATGTCAAGATTTTATTTAACTCAATGATTAATGAGGAAAATAGTAAGATGCCAACAGTAATTTAAAGAACGTTTGAGAAGCAATATTAAGATTGCTGGGTTGGATATAAAAATGGTTAATGTCCAACAGGACCATAAATTGTAACATTTAGGGTACTTTTTGTTCAAAACAAGTTATTCTCATTTCTACTGGACAAAAATCTACAGTTAACCTCCAACCTTACAAAGTTGTAAAGTAGAACAGGCAATAGATAGTCAAGCCCAGCAATGGAGAACTGCAGTGTGAGGACATCTAAGTAATCTCTTCTGTCTATTTCAACTTAAGGATGATTTACCTGTCAGTGTGATTTGCTCCATCCTAGCATTATCTGGGTTTTTATTTCATCTGACTAACATGTTAAAAGATTTTCCAGTAGCCTTCTATATGCATGGTAATAGATGTTTAATACATACAATGATAGAGTATAAAACAGGAAAATAATCCTCAATATATTTAATTCAGCATGCATCCTCTTAATACTTCAATTAGATTATATACTTCTAGATTATAGAAAATAGCACTGGAAGTAGTCTAAGATTCTTAAATATTTAGGATTAGACAGGTCTTGGTGATCTTCAGTTTTCTCCATGGGAGAAGAAAATGTCATTCTACAATCATGCATATAAATATTTGTGGCTCACATTTAGGTCTAGAACATTTTTGAGGCTTTAATTTGTGTTTCTAAGTGGATGGGTAGACTAGAGAAGGAAATAAAAAAGCCCAGAGAATTTGTGAGAGAGAAAAGGGGAAACAAATTAGTCAGGTGGCTATTCAGGCACAATCCCACCACATAGGTCTAACAGCCAGATGATGTCCTACCTCAAGACTGAACTCAAGTATTTTAGGCATGATTTTCTGCCAATTTTGTTGCATTTCAATTGTATTTGTCATAAGTTCTATTAATCTCAGACTGAAAAGACAAAATCACATATCTTAAAGCACATGGTAAGTTAGGTGAGATATGAAGAAAGGATTCTTGGTATTGAAACATACTAAACTCAAAGACTTTCCCAATTGTTGCTGTACAGTCTTCCACTATAGAAGTCTTCTAAAAGTAGAAACAAATTTCACTTGTTGGGCCTTGTTTATATCATTTGTTATAGAATTTCTTCACTCTATTTCTGAGAAAGAGAATGTTTTATGTGATGTTAATAGTTAATAGGTATTCCTGGAAAAATACTTTATTTTTCTCAATGAAATTAGTTTAGTTACTTCTAAGCAGAGTTGAATGGGTTCTTTTTTTAGAGGATTGCTTTTGAAACTCCAAGAGGGAGAAAGGAACATGTGACATTTTATGAATTTGTCTTAGAGAAATTTCTCCTTACCTGCCTCTTTTTCCCCAAGGAATGCTTATTACTATACTTGAAAAATAGCTTTGAAAATTCCAGTCTAGTTTAATTCCCCCTCTACACAAATGATGAAAGTGAGGTTCAGAAATGGTTAGTGGCATACTTAAGAGGAAGGGCAAAACACATACCTCTTGACTGTTAGAGTAATCTAAAATGATGAAGCTATAATTTTTATATGTAGCCTAGTCCTTATGTGTAAGTCCCACTGCTAAAAATAGTTACTAAATCATTCAGTTTAGAGAACTAATCTTTTTTTTTATTATTATACTTTAAGTTCCTGGATACATGTGCAGAACGTGCAGGTTTGTTACATAGGTATACATGTGCCATGGTGGTTTGCTGCACCCATCAACCCATCATCTACGTCATGTATTTCTCTTAATGCTATCCCTCCCTTAGCCCCCAACCCCCTGACAGGCCCCGGTGTGTGCTGTTCCTCTCCCTGTGTTCATGTGTTCTCATTATTTAACTCCCACTTACGAGTGAGAACATGTGGTCTTTGGTTTTCTGTTCTGTGTTAGTTTAGAGAATGATGGTTTCCAGCTTCATCCATGTCCCTGCAAAGGACATGAACTCATCCTTTTTTATGGGTACACAGTATTCCATGGTGTATATGTGCCACATTTTCTTTATCCAGTCTATCATTGATGGGCATTTGGGTTGGTTCCAAGTCTTTCCTATTGTGAATAGTGCTGCAATAAACATACATGTGCATGTGTCTTTATAGTAGCATGATTTATAATCATGCTACTATTTATAATCCTTTGGGTATATACCCAGTAATAGGATTGCTGGGTCAAATGGTATTTCTCATTCTAGATTCTTGAGGAATCGCCACACTGTCTTCCATAATGGTTGAAGTAATTTACACTTCCACCAACAGTGTAAAAGCATTCCTATTTCTCCACATCCTCTCCAGTATCTGTTGTTTCCTGACTTTTTAATGATCAGCATTCTAACTGGCATGAGATGGTATCTCATTGTGGTTTTGAGTTGCATTTCTCCAATGACCTGTTATGATGAGCTTTTTTTCATATGTTTGTTGGTCACATAAATGTCTTCTTTTTGCCCAGAATCTACAAGGAACTTAAACAAATTTACAAGAAGAGAACTAAACTTTATTATTTGTGATGAAACAAATGCTTGATTTACATTTCAGATCCTAGGAGAGAGAGCATTGAATTAAAGTCTAAAAAATTAGAATTTATCCTGTCTTTATTATTAGTGCCGATTTGAACCAATATCTTAATTCATTTATACTCCATTTTATCATTTTTGAAACAAAAATTTAAAACTATATTATAAAGATATTTTAAGTAGTAACATCATTTTAAGATAAATTCGTATGAGAACAATGCAACTATGCATATCCCAGCACAGACAACACTTGGTAATTATTAGGTCAATGGCAGTTAGTGGTGGTAGTATCTGGACGGTACTTGCTTAAAGCCATGACTGCATTTTACTGTCAGTAACCAATACCCAGATTTATTGTCCAGTGTTTTCTCATGTAGTTTATATACTCTCAAGTCTTTACCAAGTGTTAAGTTTTGGCTTCAAATCACTCAAGGTTTAGGTAGGCAGGTGGGAACAATTTTTACTTTATTTTTCTAGAATAAAAGGTTAAGCAGTTTTCTTAAGGTACAATATCTACCAGCAAATGGGCCAGGAAAAAAATGTAAGGCTTGTGAACTTTGTTTACTACTCAACCAAAAGGATTGGTTTGTTTTCTTTCTAAATTAATCACTTAAACTTGTTTTTTAAGAATATTGTAAACCCAAAGCCAAAGGATTCTGAATATCTCACATTTTGTTCCACATTTAACTTTGCTCTGTTTTCATTTTGTTTGTCAAGCTTTTCACACAATTTTAACAGTGGCATGTTTAATTATATGTAAAAATCATAGTGGTTAACACAATTTACCATTTTTACGCATTTTTTTGGTGCATGAATTCAATCTATAAGTGGTCAAAAATAAATGCTTCTATTTACAAAATAAACAGGCTTTAACACATCTTTTCCTACTAAAAAAAACCATTAATAAATAGTTTTTGAAGGAAAGCAAAACAGTCAAAAAAACATATTACCAGGTCATATTTAGAGTGCTTGTTCTTTGAAGAAAAGAGTGAGGGAGAGATACTATTAGCATTCTGTTAAGAAAGGAGAGAAAAGATAGTTTTCAGATGGGATTTAAGCCAGAGAAGTCTCTTATGCCCAGGAAGATCAATCAGGGTAAATGAGTTCTCCATGTATTATTACCTAAGGGTAGAGAAAATTGAAGATGAGATTTTCTTCCCCCTACTTGTTTGACCTTGCTGCATAAATATGATATAAAAAATATGAGTGGAATTTGATAGTGGTCTTTTCCATTGGTCAAACCTTGAAATTTTAACTCTTTGAGGCTTTTCAAATTCGGTGTAAGGAACACAATTTCTTCACATTTAATCTTATTTGTTCTTATTAAAATACAATTGTATTTGTAATCATGACTTTAATACAACACTTATTTGCCGAAGATCTATCAATAAATGCTTTCTGCCCTGTGAAAACAAATGCCCAGCACTTGTTGCTACACTCAAGGATGGCAGTAATAAAAGTGGTTAGAAAATCAATTTAAACTGCATTTGTACTTTACCATAGAGCTGGTGACACTTAAACATTGGTAAGAGTTACGCTCTTCAAATATGTGATCCACTTTTATAAGCAACTAAAAACCCTACAGCTTCAGTCACACTCTCAAAGAAAGAATAAATGACCTCACATCACTCCATTTTCAGAAGACCTGGCACTTGTAGAATGGGGGAAAGAAATGAGACAAAAAAAAAAAAGATAAACAATAGAAATTGTGAAACCTAGGCTGTTTTAACCTAAGCTTGCAGTTTATGTGTATAAATGGAAAAACACAATTTGTTCTGCATGCCTTAATGTTTTACAAACTTGAGATTATCATACACAAAATAATATGTGGAAAAGGTTTCCATGTCTTATTTGTCTTTATGAATCCCACGATCATTACACTGCTTAACACAAAAGAGGCTCTACAGCACTCATAGTATAAAAGAAGGGACAGATTGATGGTATGAAGGACACATATCCTATTTTAATCAGACAGATTTAGATCAAAATAATTTCTAAACATGGATGTTCTAGAAAAAAAGAAAAACAGAAAACAATTACCAGAATGTTTTGTTGTGATGCGTTACTTTTTGTTTAAGTAACAGTGACCTAAAACAGGCCTGTTTCTCCTTTTCTTCTTTTCTAATAGCATGTGTATATTTGCATAAGTACTTTTTTGCTTATCACAACCTTTTCTTGTTAAACATTAAGGACAGCAGAGGGTTACAGTGAAGCAGCTGGAACTCCTATCTTCTGGTAATGCAAAAAGTGTCTGGTGTTCAGAAAAGATTCAAAACTTAGTAATAATACAAAAGGAGAGTTGTGTGTTCTTTTAATATCATACCAGAGCATTGTCTAATGGGCTTGCTTAAGGATTATGTAATTCTCTAGAAGGTGAACTTTTATTTGGCTTACTATTTACAGTTATATGTCACTCAGTAACACTTCTGAGAAATGCCTCATTAGGCAATTTCATCATTGTGCAAGCATCATAGAATGTACTTATACAAACCCAGATGGCATAGCTTACTATCCACCTAGGCGATACAGTATGGTCTATTGCTCCTGAGCTATAATACAGATCTGTACAGCATGTAGTACCAAAGCATGTTCTGAATACTGTAGGCAATTGTAACACAGTGGTATTTGTGTATCTAAACATATAAAAGATGTATAAAAATACAGTATAAAAGACAAGAAAAATGGTACACCTATATAGGGTACTTATGAAAGGAGCTTACAGGACTGCAGGTTGCCCTGGGTGAATCAGTGAGTGAGTGGTGACCAAATGTAAAGGGCTAAAATACTACCGTATATTACCGTAGACTTTATAAATACCATGCACTTAGTCTATACTAAATTTACAAAAACAAAAGTAATTGTGCTATGATGTTACAATAGCCACAACATCACCAGAAAACAGGAACTTTTCAACTCCATTACAATCCTGTGAGACCACCATCATCTGTTTTGTCTGTTGTTGACTGAAACATTGTTATGAAGTGCATTAGCACTATTAATACTGTTAATTAGACCAGGACTCTGTGAAGTTACATGCTCACTTGTAGGCTGTGGTTTGATGGAGGCGCAAATGAATACAGACTGGTAGAAAACATCACAAAATTACATTTTATTGCCCTATGGAACATTAACTAGTTTTGTCTCTAAACCTTGCAATTTTATTTTAGCATCCTTTCAGTGTCTATAAAAGCTCAGTCTCTTGAATTCTTTTTGAACCAACTTTACCTTCATGCTGGTTGCTTTGTATAGGAGCTAAATGAATCTTTGGTATGTGGTTTATACAATTGTATAAAAATCATGTTTATAACTTTTTGAAAATTAAACTTTGACACTGGGTTTGAATTATCTTGCCAGAATCCTGTCTTAGAGAATTGTAGAGGGGAGTTTAGATTTTGTGGGGCCTGAAGCTCATATAATTTTGTGATCTTTTATAACCAAAAAAATTTTACAGATTCAAATGAAAAATTATACATAAAAGTGATTATTTATTTAGAATAGGAAAATAAATAACAGCAAATTACATTAATATTTGGAGATTCAGGTCTCTTTCTCTGAACTCTCTTTTTAATTGTACTACAGTTTTTGTTTTTTTTCAGGAGACCAGAGTTTTATTATTACTCAAGTTAGCCTCCTATTGTACTATAGTTTTAAAAATGGATACACAATAATTGTGTAAAGGGCTAAATATTATTATATATTACTGTACATATGCAGTAATCTATATATAATACAAATTATGTATAATAAAAATTTTACATATTTATGGGGTACATGTGATATTTTGATACAGGCATACAATGTGTGATTATCAAATTAGCATAATTGGAATAGCCATCACTTCAAACGTTTATAATTTCTTTGTGTCAAGAACATTCCAAATCTTATCTTTTAGCTGTTTTGAAACATGCAATAAATTATTGATAACTAATAATTTATCAATAACTAATATATTTACCCATTGTGCTATCAAACACTAGAGCTTACATGGAGATGCTTCCTGATCGCAACTTGTTTTCCCTTCCCAAAGGAAATTGTGAGAAATTATTGCAATTCCTAGCAACTCCCAATCCCAGAAAGACATGTACAAGGTTGAGGGCCTCTTAAGCTTCATTAGCTTCGAGGTAAGCCAGCTCTGCTATTGGGTGAGGGGATGTCAGCAGGTAAGGAGCTGTGAAGGACTGGGTGGAAAGAAACAAACCAGAGAATATTTTCCCCCTCAGGCAACCATGGAGTGGCCCTTGGAGCAAGGCTTTGTGAGGACTCCTGCATGTATCTGACAAGAGATCCAGGACCGAGTTTGTGTGTCAGGGAGTACAAAATCAATACAGAACCATAATGGCACCAGCTCATAAGAAAACCTTTCGATATTTTTCAGTCAAATCCCTCCTGTCCCAAGCCAGACCCAAACCTGGAGAAACTAGAAAAAGAAGAGGGATAGAAAGAAATCAAGAATGCATTACATTCCTTCCCCACTCTAAATTCTTGAACTTGAGGTTTGTCCAACCTGGCATAGGGCTGATGACCACTAAATTGGATATGAGACAGAAGTTTTTAATTGGTGTAGTCTGAACCAGATGATTTAATATGTGAACATACATAGAAGGCTCTGGAACCTGCAGGATATTCCAGTAAGGGAAAATAAAGTGGAGACCAACAGAGTATGTACACCATCAATGACAGAAGAAAACATTCTTTTGATACTCACACCCTAGAGACTGATTTTAGTGAATGAATTATGTAGAAAATACCTTAAATACTCAATTAATTAACATAATAAGAAAGATAGGAAAAACTATGAAATCATTTATGCTTCTAAGTTCTTACCGAAAACCTGGTTAGCTTTCCCCGCCACCTGTTTCTCTAGCAACAAGGGCTGCCCACAGTGGGAGATGTTTGGAGGTTCACTGGTAAACTTTTATATTGAGAATAATCTAACTAAATATAAAATAGTCTTCTAGTGCAAGGGACACTTAAATCCTATGTACAATTTCAAGGATGTAGACTACAGACAGAAAGTGTAGCAGTTAAGAAGAAGGGTTAAATATTTGAAAATGTCATTAGTCTAAATGTGTGGTAAGAAATTGATCTGAAATAGGCTCTTTTTTCCTGTGGTATTTAGAAGAATAGGGTAGACTGCTGAGCTAGATTTGGGGTAATCTGGGTTAGATACAGAGTAAAAACTAAAAGATCTCAGCAGGTGATTCCTAGCGACATGACATTGTGAAATGACAATGAAGACAAGCAAAAATTGTGTGAGGGATTGCAACTTACTACAGAACAAATGGAAAAGCTAAGACCTGATATCCTGTCTTTATGCTGTGTAACAGTTCTTACTATTGCAATTTCAAATTCAATTTATGCCTCCTACCTCATTTTGAAGTGCTAAATGAGTTGGAAACTGAAAACCTCAGTAATCACAAAAAAACTGCCTTCTTTCTACAAATGTTAAAAAAAGTCTATAAAATGAGATAATAGGGAAAGATGGATTGAAAGTAAAGAATAAAGGAAAGAAACTCACCTCTGTTCACATGGGGTACTGAGAATAATGATAATTTCTGAATGCTAAACAAATACATACCCTGTTTGAAGCTTGCTTAATATGGAAAAATTATTAATATGAATTGGGGTTGATTTTCTTAGTCTAGCTCAATTAGTTGAATAACACTAATTTACCCATTTGTTGCCCTAGTGCAGTGGTCTGCAAATGATAGCCCTTTTGCCAAATCCTGCCAGCCACCTATTTTGGTAAATAAAGTTTTATTGGAACACAACACAGTCATATCCATTTGTTTACATTTTGTCAGTGGCTGCATTCCTGCTACAATAGGAGAGTTAAGTTATTGCAATACAAAGGCTGATATTTGCTATCTGGCCCATTACAGAAAATGTTTGCTAGCCTCTGCCTTGGAACATGGAGGATAGCACTGGTTAATGATGAATAAAAGCTATGAGAACAGCTAGAAGCATAGAAAGCAGATTCATTGAGATGTGAAAATTATTGACTTTCACTGCATGATAAAATACATTTATATGTGCTTAGCTCCTGGTAAAATTAAGAATAAATTTGAAATTAGTGTCTCAATAATTATTTACTGTAATGTCAGTGATGTAAGTTTCTAGTGTCATGGTTGTATAGGGTATATTCCCAAACCTGATGCTCCTTTTAATTACTGTTTAACTTATTTAAAAACATATGGCTCAGAAAGGGGAAAGTGATGTAAATATTATCTGTTTAATTTACTAACCTTTCTATGCCCTTTTGGAAACAGCTTGTTTTAAGTCCGTAGAGATTTGGATACTCAGAATAAGCCTTCTGTATCACTTTCTAAACTGAATTTCACTACATGCAATTTGGACTTCTCTGAAATGAACAACCACAGGGGTTTGAAAATTCTAGTACAGATTTATAACAAAATGAAAAAAGATTGGACACTGTCCAGAAACGTGTGATGGTACTCAAAGCAGAATGACATTTGCTCAGTAAAGCTGCTGAAGTGTTACTTTCCTTAATACTTTTCAACATGAAATTTGTCTTCTTGTAAGCAGATTACATTCATAGACAGTGTAGGAACAGCACTTTACAGCAGTAAATTAGATCAACCAAGGTACAAAAATTAGTGATGATTTTGCTTACAAATATCCATTGTAACAGTATTTCATTTTGTGAACCCTAAGGTCTAACTCTGTGGCACTGAAACTCTGTTCATTCACTACCCCACTCTTGTGTAGAGAGCCAATTTCTTTAGGGGTTATCTCATACTATAACACTATTATTCTTCACTTATTGGGGAAAATAGGCATGCATTTTCAGGAGGTACAGATTAGAATGCTCAAGAGTGTGTGTGTGTGTGTGTTGAAAAATCTCTCTTTCTTAAGGTTCTCATATACTCCATTAGGAAGCATTCCCCAACCTTTCAATTAGAGTCCTGGCCTAGAACAATTAAACTGTGATGAGAAATTGTTATTTGCATTTCAAAGTAAAACTTTATGCATACATGCTACAGTATTAAATCATCAGTATCTGTGTATTTTGAGAGAAGCAAGCAGAGAGGTAAAAGGGCTTTCTTCCTGTCTCTGTAATAATCACTCTTTTATTCTGAACATAAACAGTCTATTACTTTGAAAATAAAGTAATATAACTTGTAAGCCTATAAGGAATTTCATCAGGCCATCTTGTCCATCCTCCCTGAATCCAGAAAGGCTGAATATTAACACATCTTATTGAAATTGATCTGCTATTTTGAAAGCTGTCTTGCATCCAATTTCTTCTTTTGAGAAAATAGGAGGAAAGAGAGGGGAAGTTTAGAACTCTGCCTAGATGGGCTCAGGAGTGAGATCAGGTCAGATGGCATGGACTGAGGGAAAAAAACAGAGCCAAAGGATGAGAAGGACTGGAAGAGAGTAGAAGATTTTGGAGAAATCCACTTTATGATATGGCAGCAGAAAGAAAGAGAACCTTTGGCTTCGGCTAACAACATAGATAGGAAGTGGGTTACCAAAATCATGAAGTCAGTTCAGATCCATTTTGTCAGAATCAGAATGAGGCTCACTCAGTAGCACAGGGTTTCTCTAAATTTCTTTGTTGGAAGACTCTACACTGCTCCGTGTATGCCAAGTGTGAATATGCATCTGTTGAGGGAGAGAGTTGGTTATGGTGATGGCCCTCTGTGTCCTACCTCTTTGACCCATGTTCTTCTTAATGAGCTGAAACTGCTTATGGTCTCATTGGGAGTCTATGTTCTCCTTCAGTACATTTTCTGGTTCTCCTTTTTGGATTACTGCACAAACTGCTGGAGTGCTAGCTGTAGGGTTGGGTATTGGTGGGAAGAGCAAAAGACAGCATTCTTATTCTGATAATCTCCTCCGTGGTCCTATAGCTCTCTGTTTTCTTGTATTAAACTTCTGATATACTACAGGCATCTCTTCTTAGGATCCTTTCAAGAATTAAAAAAAAATTGTTGTTCTGGAACTGGCCAACTCCACTGTATTGCATGTTGAAGTACACAAAGGGATTGCAGGAATATAAGTCATAGCTGCCATGGAGCAGCATGTCCTGTATGCAACGGTGTAAGTAGTAGTTTACAGGAGCTGAGCACCGGCAATCAAAATAGAAAGCATGTTGTTCATAAGATGTGAAGAAGTGTTATACTTAATGATACACAACTGGTACATCTCCATGTGGCTAGCAGTATAAAGGGACATACAGATCTGGAAGTCTTTAAACAGTGCATGCCAAATCAGTTGACCTTCCAGTAGATTTCTCTGGAGTTGTGGTTGAGAGGTTGAGAGATTTAGAAATGAGGATGGAAGGTGAGATAATGTACGTGATGAAGACTGACTGATACATTTTTTTGTGGGAAAATTTACCTTAAGTCCTGAAGAGCTGATAGAGCTTCCACGCTAGAATAAAAACTCTTTGTGTGTCTTGAATATACATCTTTGATTTACAATTACCTTGGCTCTTAGTTGGCTCTCAGACAATGTTTGTTGGAATAAGTCTAAGAGAATCAATATATAAAGTATAAATAAATCTAGGACTGCTTATATATACATCCTGTTAGGAAGATTATCTTTATTGTTATTTTCAAATACATATTAAATAACTGAGATTGGAATTAATGTGATGTTCTTTAATTCATGCAGATAAGAGGTTTACTTTATTTAACACATACTTGGCTTACTAAATATCAGAAAGTTAATGTCCTAAAATAAACCTTATCCTTACCTATTTCTCTGAGTTGGTAATGTTAGACACTTTTCCAGGAAATGAGAGTGTGTTAGTTTTCTATTCCTGAATAACAATATTAACACCAACTTAGCACCTTAAAAGAACATACTAACAGTTAACTCACAGTTTCCATGAGCCAAGTTTGGGCATGGATTCACTGGATTTTCTGCATAAGAATCTCACATTGCAGTAAAGGTATGGGATAGGTTGGGGGTCTCATCTCAAGGCTTGACTGGGGAAAGGGCCCATTTTCAAGCTCATGTGGTTGTTGGTAAAATTCAATTCTTTGCAGTTGTAAGAATGAGGGATTCAATATTTGCTGGTTGTCAGCCAGGGGACACCCTCAACTCTGCTTCTTGTTGGCTGGAGGCTGCCTCAGTGTCTTTTCATGTGGGTCTTCCCCAAACTGCTGTTTGCTTCCTCAAAGGCAGCAAAAGAGATAATCTCTTTGTAATATACAGCTTACACTTCTATGTAGTCTAATCCTGGAAGTGATGTCTCATCACCTTAGTTTATCAGATAGTCTGTTGGTTAAAAGCAAGTCACAGGTTTCACCCACAGTCAGGGAGGGAGGATCACAGAAAGGCATGAACAATAACAGGAGGGGGATTGCAGGGCCATAGTAGGGTATGTTCACCACATATAGGGAGGGAGAAAACACAATTCTTGTAACTTCTGTAATTTCATCAGTAATAAAGCCTCATGGAAAATATTTACTTAGGTTGAATAACACAAATATTTCAGACATTAACACAGTCAGTTAGAGAAGGTTTTTTCCCGTTTCTATTTCACTTAATTTGACAGAATTGCACGTTCTTCTATGGGGTTTGAAAGTTGCCTTGCTAAATTATTTTTGCATTATTAGATTTTGAAAAACAATTGGTATTAGTGGGTGATTATAAAGCAAAATACTTATTGAGTAAAGCCTTGAGGAAAGTGATGATAGTCAAGGAGATAACGTTCACTCTTAGCCCCCAGATTTACTCTCATTTAGTTCTTTAAATCTGTATCCATTGTACTTATGTTGAATAGGTCTATGTTGCTGTTATTGTACCAATGTATAAATGTGTATAAATTCACTATGTAAGTCAGATACTTACACAGTGAATCAGAAGCCAAATTTCTAGACACTCTAAGAAACTCTGCCTGACTTTTCCACTAACCATGCCTTTTTTATTTTTTTCAAATTTATTACTGTCATTCTGTGATTGGTAAATATATCACATTGACTTTATCATATCTGCCCAGTCCTCTGTTTCTTGTCTTTGTGATTGGTTCTTTCTCTCTTTTTTTATTTTCTATTCTAGTGATCACTATCAGAGCTTGTTTCTGTCTACCATTTTTAAATCCTGCTTTTTTGATAAAATTTCTCTCTTTTCTACACTGTGTATAGAGATGTTTATTTTTATGGAGTAATTATTGACTGCTTGATAGCTTTCCCCATGAAAATACTGAGGTTAATTAATTAAAATATTTCCTGTGCAATTTGGTCAATTTTTCCTTGACTTGAATTATTGTAAGTTGTATCTGTTTCAGCTTCCATTCTGTCATTATTTGTAGCTCCAAAATAAAGAATTCTCAGATGACTGAAGAAAATTGGGAATATGTTTTACACTGTTCAAATGAGACTCCCTCAGGGTTGATTCAGTTAAGACATTTAAGTGGAGCAGAAAGTAATTTTAATTAAAATCTTCTTAAGTTTATAAGCATGATAAATCTGCTTCAAGAAGAAAAAAGGATATAGGATTGCAAATAAAAAGAGAAAACAGATATAGGTAATTTTGTTTTTACCTCTAACCTTAGCAATCTAAGCAGATTCTTTTTTGGCAGATGAGTAAAAAACAAATATAAAAATTAATAAATATAAAAAATTAATAAATATATCAAAACCATCACCAATGAATAATAGCCTCTCATTCATATTTACAAGAAGCTGGAACACCTAGATAAAGACGTGGATTCATTTGAAATTGCCAAAACCAGGTCTAGTTACCTAGTTACTGTCAGAGTCTGAGACTCTCTTGTCTCTTGAGCTACAATATATACATTTCTTTGGACAAACAAGAATTTACCACATGTGTGCATCATTTAGGTGATGCATAGAAAAACTTGAGAATTCTGGACTTGTCATTTTCGTCTCTCAGAGGACAATACTGCTGGCTTTTGTTGTTTTAAGAATTTGGAGTCATGTAACGTAGGTTGGGAATCAGGAGACTAATACTGACCTGATGCAGGTGCCATTGTTGCGGCACAGATGATGAGCACACCAAGGGACGTGGCAGTTCTCAATATTCTTTCCATGTCGTGCTTCATCGATGATGAAGAATTCTTTGTTGTTTACTTGAAGGTCTAGAATGCAGCCCCTGAACCCATAAACAGGACCTGCTTTCTTATGAATTTGAACATTTGCAGGAATATGGCCAAGGAACATTGATTCAAAATATGCCTGTAGAAAAAGTAACAACAAAAAATATTATAGGTTGTTGTCAGATTATGTGGAAAAGATGTAGGATGTTTGGTTCTGTAATTGGATGTGTTTTAATGTGTTTTTCTGTGTAAAAGAGGTTGCTATTGTTGGCTAGTTTTGTCACTTCTACTAGGTGGGGAGATAGACTGTTTTAGAAAATGGTCCTTTTTTACATCTCTTTTTTAGCTCTAACAATATCTAATAATATTTAGCAGAAAAATAGACACTCAGAAAAACTTGCTGATTGATTACTTTGAAATTTTTTTTGAGCTGATGTGTTTGCATTTTAGTGTAAACATTACCAAATAATAACTAAAAAAGAAAATAAAGCCATGTTAACTAATTGTTGTTAGGGGTTGAATTGTGTTCCCTCCAAATTCATATATTGAAGTTCTAACCCCTAGTACCTCAGAATGTGACTTTATTTAAAAATAGGGTCATTGCAGATGTAATTTATTAAGATGAGGTCAATACTGGAATAAGGCAAAACTATAATCCAATAGGACGTTTTGGACATTTATAAGGACTTTTATAAGGACAATAGTCTTTTTAGGACTTTTATAAAGAAGCTTGGATACAGACCGACTGGCACACAGGAATATTGCCATGTGAACAAAAAGGCGGAGATCAGGGTGATGCATCTATGGGCTAAGGAACATCAAATATTGCCAACACCTTACCAAAAATGAGTTAAGAGGCATTATCTTTCTCAAGTCATCATATGGAAAGAACCCTACAGTTCTTTAGTTTCTAGTTTCCAGAGCTGTAAGAACTGTAAGACATTTCTGTGGTTTAAGCCACCCAGTTTGTGGTACTTTGCTATGGCAACCCTGACAAACTAATGTAATCATAATATATTATAAATATCCTAAAATATGAGCAAAATGTACGGTGCTTGCAAATGGTGCTTGGAATGTTGAAAATGTTACCGTTTCCTTTCTCCCAAATTTGAACATAAATATGCATGAGAAGTAGAATTTTGCTTGGGTAATATTCACTTCCTTAATTCACCTTTTATTCCAAAATCAGATCAAGAAAAGACTCTTGCTTTGAGAAGACACAAAGAAATCACATCATCTTATTGGGATTACTGGCTAGCCATATGCAGAAGATTGAAGCTGGTCCCCTTCTTACACCATATACAAAAAGCAGCACAAGATGGATTACTTAAATGTAAAACCCAAAACTATAAAAACCCTGGAAGACAATCTAGGCAATACCATTCTGGACATAGGAAAAGGCAAAGATTTCATGACAAAGACACCAAAAGTAATTGCAACAAAAGCCAAAATTGACTAGTGGGATCTAATTAAACGTGAGAACTTCTGCACAGCAAAAGAAATTGTCAGCAGAGTAAATAGACAATCTAAATAATGGGAGAAAATTTTTGCAAACTATGCATCTTACAAAGGTCTAATATCTAGCATCTATAAGGAATGTATACAAATTTACAAGAGAAAAACAACCCCATTTGAAAGTGGGCAAAGGACATGAACAGACACTTTTCAAAAGAAGATATACATGCGGCCAAAAAGCATATGAAAAAAAGCTCAATATCACTGATCATTAGAGAAATGCAAATCAAAACCACAATGAGATACCATCTCACACCAGTCAGAAGGGTTACTATTGAAAAGTAAAAAAATAACAGACGCTGGCTAGGTTGCAGAGAAAAAGGAACACTTATACACTGTTGGTGGGAATGTAAATTAGTTTAGCCATTGTGGAAAGCAGTATGGTGATTCCTCAAAGAGCTAAAAGCAAAACTACCATTTGGCCCAGCAATCCCATTACTGGATATATACCCAAAGGAATATCAGTCATTCTACCATAAAGACACACGCACCTGAATGTTCATTTCAGCACTATTCATAATAGCAAAGATATGGAATCAACCTAAATGCCCATCAGTGACAGACTGGATAAAGAAAATGTGGTACATATACACCATGGATGGAATAATATGCAGCCATAAAAAAGAATGAGATCATGGCTTTTGTGGACACATGGATGGAGCTGGAGGCCATTATCCTCAGCAAACTAATGAAGGATCGGAAAACCAAATGCAGCATGATTCTCACTTATCAGTGGGAGCTAAATGATGGGAGCTTATGAACACAAAGAAGGAAACAACAGACACTGGGGTCTACTTGAGGGTAAAGGGTAGGAGGAGGTAGGGGAGCAGAAAAAATAACTATTGGGTGCTGGGCTTAATTCCCAGGTGATGAAATAATCTGTACAACAAAACATCATGACATGGTGTACCCATGTAACAAACCTTCACATGTGCCCCCAAACCTAAAATAAAAGTTAAAAAACAAAAAAAAGAAGTCAGACTATCTTAAAGGCAACCAAACCATTTATAGAAAATTAGTAGAATAAAGAGACTCTGTAAAATTAGGCTGTTGATCTACCTTTATTTGATCAATACAACAGGGCCACATCTTACATGGGATTTAGTTCTAAAGACGGCAAATAAGATGAATATTTCATAGAAGCTAAATTGTCTTTGGAAATCCTTTAGCCACCACATTGGAAACTAACATGCTTTCTCCAGATAATTCCAACACAGCTACATATTTCCTCCAGCTTTGGAATAGCTTGCTGTTTTTTCAGTGTAGCTGTAGATGAAGCTGGCATTTCATGTCATGTTGTATAAAAACTCTAGAACCCCCCAGTGTGTGGTGAGATGTACCACTGTCAAACTAAGAGGGAACTGATACTGAGTACAATAAATTCACTTCTCACATCTGATGTTCATTGCAGAGCTTATGTGCATTGACCAGAATGATGCTAAAATCAGTTTACATGATTTAAGTTGCTACTTGATTTCTACTTTCCCACCCTCAGCAACATATATAATTGAATTCTCATAATTTAGATGTACATAAAATGCAGACCTTCTCTGTAAGAATTTATGAGCTACAATTGAAGTCTAAATAATCTGGAAATAAGACACTGCTCTTCAGGGCTGTTAGGCATATGGCAGGTAGATGCAGCAACATTTGTGTGGGTAACATCTCTGATATCCCAATTCCCAAAACACACATTCATACCTCAAGTTGACATCTGAAAAGTATTTAAATTGGTATTACAGATACAATAAAATGGAATACTGTCATTGCCAGAATTAAAAAACTAAAGCCAAATAATTAAGTTAGGGGTCTGGTGGGAGGACAGTGTGAGAGATGCCCAGCAATATTGCTTTACATTTATACTAATACGTGCTGTTTTCATGTGGATGTACTTTTAGAGAGCAGAAACATGTTTAATTCTAGGAAGAGCAAAGCATCTCCATGACCCGTAACAGGTCAAACTAACTCTGTATTTGAGATATTGTTCTTTTTAAAAGACTGAGTCTCTGCTCCTAAGGGTGTCTTTAATTTTTTTTCCTGAGTATTTCTTCTTATTTAGGTCCCAGAGGGTGATTATCTTTGTGTATGTTATGGTGGAAGCTAAAAGTTGCAAGGTGTATCAATAGAGCTGTCACATAGCATAGGTGTATTTCTGTTTGTTTTCACATTCTACAAACTATTAGCAGATCTGTCTATTAGCTAAGATAAGTGATCCACTGTTACAAGACTCTGCATCCAAAGGATGACCTTCCTCTCACTGAGGATCTCTGACATCTTTGTATATTGATCACACACCTGGAAAAGTGAACCTTTCACTGTTTTGACAAGTGTGCTCTTTAAGCACAAAACTGGTAGAGAATGGAAGAATACCCTCCTTTTCTGTCAGCAGTAGGAAGGTATGAAGGAAAGTCTATAGAGCTATCAATGATTTATTAGACCATTAAAAAACACCCAAACAATGGAAATAGATGGCTCCTGTATTTCTTCTGATGTGAGGCTCATGCTTAGTTGGAGTCCTGAAATGTCTAAAAAAGCAGATGTTGTTGGCTGCACACAGATTACCATTAAAATGGTCGACTTCCATTCCCAGACTTTCAATTATCCAAGAGACGACTTTTGTGTGTATAATTATTCCTAAGGAGACAGGTCTTTAACATAAGTCTTTTCTAATAATTCCTTGTGAATCAGACTATGAAGAATAAAATCTGACATCAAGATATGATGGTACAAGATGAAAGCACAGAGAACAGACATGGACAATCAAGGAGGAATCATGAAAATAATAAAAAGTATCAGTGAAAACTGAGGGAAAAGGCCTCCATATCTGACAGGAGTGAAACGAACACTCCTTTTCCTTTAGAGTTTCTCTTTAAAGGAAGAATATAGTTATTCTTTTATGATACGTATGAATAAAATAAGAAAATAGGCAAAGGGGAAGTAAAATTTAAAATCCATCAGGCAGGGGAGAGGGTAGATAAGAAGCTGTCCTATTTATTTTTTGTTTTGTTTTAATTTAAATTTAGATGTTGGAGTACTGCATATCTTTCTGTAATGACATCCTGATTTAATGTTTACTTTTATTTTGCATTCTCAATTCTGCGTCTGAAGTTAAATGACTTGTGTTACTAAAATATGGAGAGGTGATTATAAATATACTTTTCGGTTAAGATGAATTATCAGAGCGCACTTGTCTTTAAGATTATGATGACTTACAATTGAAACAAACTGGCTTTTATTTAAGAGTCATTACCATTTTTGGTTTTTAACATTATCTGAATTGTATGGAAACAAATTTAAAATCAGAAACATTAAGTTTTGGAATAAAGGTGGATAAGAAATGTTGGATAAAGTGTTTCAGAAGGATTTATTGAAGTAACTTTTCACATGTTAAAAAAGCTTAAATTCTTAAAAATTGTTTAAGGGAAATAAGTGAAAAGGGATAAAAAATAACACCAGCAATATTTATCAAAATTCCCATTCTTTTGCAGTTAAAGGATCTCTCTCTCCCTCTCTTTATCTTACTTTTCCCTAAAGTATAATAATCTGTGAGCATATGATATCTTCTATGTTAATATATATTTTTATTTTTAGGACAGAGCCTTCACCCTGATTATCTTTGGATTCTTGGAGTCCATAGAAGTGCCTTGAAAATAGAAAGTTTTATACACTTTTTTTTACAAATGACATGAAATCCAATCCTGCTTTTCCTCAATCTCTTAGTTGTCTTTTAGGCCTCTTTCCCCGTGTTATGCTGCCTTAGAATCTCGATATTTTGCTAGATTCAGCACATGGGATGTCCTTACAAGATCCCACTCAGAATAAATGTTATATTATTATTCTAATATACCCTTCTATATTTTATATATATATATGGCATATTGCATAGGACAGTAGCTCACACAAGGTTATTTCTTTAAAAATTTGATAAATATGAGTGAAGTGATTATTGATGTTATGATCAATAATTCACAGTTAATATTTGATTCTTAAGGCTTTCTAGGCTAGGAAATTTTCTCAGAATAATATCTCCTCACCTTTTTGAAGGGACAACTAAACTTTAGAGAAGCAATCAATAAACTGAGTTGCTACTTTGTGAACACATTGATCTAGGGAAGTGTAAATAAAAAAGAAGTATGTGGGATTACTCTTGTCTATAAAGAAATTAAATATAATTTGGGGAATTAAATAATAAAAAAATTTGTTGCAAAATAATAACATATAGGTCAGCAAGATGGCAGAATAGGAAGCCCCAGACCCTCTTTCCCCTGTGGAGACACAGAAGCAACAAAAATACATGGACCAATTCCCTTTGAGAGGAATTTAGAAAACAGTTAAGAGGGTCCCACATGTCAGGTGATTGTGAAGCCAGCTGTATCAAAGCTGTAAGGAAAATTTATGGCATTCATTCATTATAGGTCCACTCCCCAACATAGCATGGCATGATGAAGAGAAAACTCCCAGCTTCCAGTTTTGCCTTGGGAAAAGAAATAGAAAACTAAAACATGTCCAGCATGCAGACTCTTTGGGGAGCTGTTTGAGTGATTGGATTTTGTCTTTTCTGATCCAGGAAAGGGTACCACATTGGGGATCACTGAGAACAAAGGTGATGGTTTGGACTAATATGCAATCATTCACCACAGTCTCTTGTCCTGGCTTGGCATGGGATCAGAGAAAATTCTCACCTTCCAGTTTCTCACTAGGGAGGTAAAGAATGAGGGCATGTGTCCAGTGTTAATGGCTTTTTGGGGGCTTCTGTCTCACTAGTTTCTGTCTCACCTGTCTCAGAATGCTGATGGGACCTGGCTTACTCTCAATATCTGGGGACTGCTGAGAAAAAAAGAGTTTTGGGAGGCTTACTTCTGCTTCAAAGGACCCAGAATACAGAAGACAGAGGCTGGTATAGCTTCATGGCCTCTCCCTCAGGAGGGAGTGGGTGAAAGAGTGGATCATGCACCCAATGTTCTGGCTTTTCAGAATGTTACAAGAGACTAATATCTATCTTGTTTGACTGAGAGTGTTAATGGGACTTGGCATACTCTAGAAGTCTGAGGGCTTCTGAGAATAAGAGAGATGGGCAGCTTGTGGCAGATCCAGAGAACCTGTAGTATCATATACAGAAAGTAAAGGGAGCAAGAGATTATGAGCTCCTGAAAGAAGAAACTGGAAAATCACTTTAATTGGGAGTCTGCAGGCACAAGTTCAGGGAAGACACATCCATAGGAAACACTGGAGAGGACCTCAGACTGACTGTTAAAGGTCTTTCCCTGTACAAAAAGCCAGTCCAAAAAGACTGGAAGAAGTGACTGTCTTATCAAATGTGTGGATTCCACCACAAAGTTAGAAAGCAAAGGAAGACAGAGGAAAGCATGGCATAATCAAAGGAACAAAATAGATCTCCAGGAGACAACCCTTTAAAAAGAGATCTATATGAATTACCTGACAAAAAATTCGAAGTAACCATTTTGAAAATGTTCAGTGAGGAGAGAAAAGTGATGCTGAACAAAGTGAAACTATCAAAAAAGAGAAAATATGAAAGAGGACCAACCAAAAATTTTGGAGCTGAAAACTGTAATGCCTGAATTTAAAAATTCATTACAGAATTTCAACGGCAGGCTTGGTCAAGCAGAAGAAAGAATCATAAAATTCAAAGACGGATCACTTGGATGTCTCAAAAGGAGAAGAGAGAAAGAAAGAAGAAAAAGCTTATTCATAGAAATAATGAATGAAAACTCCATAAATATGGGGAAGAAAATGTACACCCAGAATCAAGAAGCTGAAGTACTCCAACTGAAATGAACCTAAAAAAGTCCACTCTGAGACATACTATAGCCAAAACCAGAGAATTTTAAAAGATGCACAAAAAAGGCAACTTGTCATGTAAATGGGAGCTCCCATGAGACTATCAGTAGATTTTTTTCCACAGAAACCTTGCACATCAGAAGGGAAAGGGGTGATATATTTAAAGTGCTAAACATTTTTTAAAGGAACCTGCAAACCAAGAATACTGTATTTGCCAAAACTGTCCTCCAAGAATGAAGAAGACATAAAGACTTTCCCCATAAACAAAAACTGAGGAATTTAATCATTACATGTTCCTTACAAGAAATGCTAAAGGAAGTTTTTCCAGTTGAAATAGAAGAATACTAGACAACAACACAAAAACTTCTGAAAGTATAAAGCTGGCTAAAAATGGTAGGTATGTATACAAATATAGAATACTGTAATACTGTAATCATGGTGTGTAAATAAATTTTGGAATTTATTTATTTTCCATTTGTGCTATTATTTTATTGTTGTATTGTTATTTTTATGGTTTTTATTCTGAAATATTTTCTTTTTAAAGATTTCAACTTATTTTAGATACAAGGGGTACATGTGCAGGTTTGTTACCTGGGTATATTGCATGCTAACTTTAGGAATTTAGAAATTAAGGGCAAAAGTATAAAATAACTATAATTATAAAATATGTTAACATGTACACAATATAAAATGAGGTTATTTTTATGATTAATAACATAAAGTGTGTGTGTGGGAGCAATAAAGGAATAGAGTTTTAGTATGTGATATTGAAGTTATTATTACCTTAAAATGTAAATGTACTGCTATAGCTATAAAATATGTTGTGTAAGCTTCATGGTAACCATAAAAAATACCTATAGAAGATACAAAAAAACAAAAAATGAAATCAAGTTATGTCATTAAAAAGTCACAAAGGAAGAAAGCAAGAAAGGAAATGAGTTACAAGAAAACTTGGCCTACAAGAGATTCACTTTAGATTTAAGGATACACACAATGAGAAAGTGAAAGTATGGAAAAATATATTCCATGATCATATTGTTGGGCTTTGTGTCCCCACCCAAAATCTCATCTTAAATTGTAATCCCCTAAATCCCCATAATCCCCACATGTCAAGGGAAAGACCAGATCAAGGTAATTTCATCATGGGGATAGTTTTCCCATGCTGTTCTTGTGAAAGCGGCAGTTCGCTTGAGATCTGATGGTTTTATAAGTGTTTGGTTCTTCCTGCGTTCATTCTCCTTCCTGCCTTACAAGGCCGCAGGAAGGAGAATGTAATAATAATTACATTAACAAACTGGAAGATAACAATCACAGGATCATCTCAATAAACGCAAAATGTCATTTTACAAAATTTGAACTCTTTCATGAAAAAATACTCAGCAAATTAGGATTAGGAGGAAATTAATTCAACAGAATACATATCATACTCAATGGTGAACACCTAAAGCTTTTCCTTCAAGTTGAGGAACAAGATAAGGATGCCCACTCACTGCTTTTATTGAGCATAGTACTGGAAGTCCTGGCTGGAGCAGTTAGGCAAAAGAAAAAAAAAAGGAACAAAATGCATCCAAATAAGAAATAAAGAAGTAAAATTATTTTTTGTTCACAGATGACCTGATAATATACATAGAAAACCTTAATGATATCTCTGACATACATGCACACACACAAAAACTGTTAGAGCCAACAAATTTAGCAAAATTTCAGGATACAAAAATCAGCAAAAATTAATTACATTTCTATAGACTAACCATTAACTATCACAAATAAGAAAACAATTTTATCTATAATACATGAAAAAGGATAAAATAGCATAAGAATAAACTTAAGAGGGCAAAAAACATGTAACTTAAAACTACAAAACATTCTTGAAAGAGAAAAAAGGCACAAATAAATAAGAAAAACACTTTACATTCATGGAACATCAATAAAATGTCCATACTATCCAAAGTAATCTACAGATTCAATACAATCCATACCAAAATTCCAAAGATATTTTTACAAAAATTGAAAAAACAATGCTGGAATTTATATGGCACCAAAGGATGCCAAATAGCCAAAACATTCTTGAGAAAGAATACAAAATGGGAGAGGTTCCCACTTCCTGACTTCACAGTATATTACAGAGCTATAGTAATCAAAAGTGTATGGTGCTGGCATAAAGAAATGTATAAACCAATGAAACATAAGAGGCTGTGAAAAATCCCATGGACACATGGTCAAATGATCTTTGAAAAGGGTACCACAAATGCATGTGGAAAATAATCTTCAACAAATGGTCTTCGGAAAACTGGCTATTCACATGCAAAAGAGTGTCATTTTATAATGAGCAAGCATTTGGCATATATCTGAAAGATGTCTTGAGGTAGTAGAAAATTCAGAACTTAGCTGAGGTACAGTCACTGAAGATGTCGTTAAATGTAAAATATTCTATTCTCAACAAGTATGCCACACTGCTTTAATTTACACTATATAATTACACGGCATTAAAATTCTGATACATCAGTCTAGTGGCAAGCCTTAAGTAGGAACAGATAAATATGTTCAATCTGCTTATGCAACAATTACTCTAATGGGAGTAGGAAATAGTGCATGTTCCCAAGGATTCTCATTATTTTAAGAATGTCCCAGGAATTCCCTGTTAGTCACAAGTCAATTCTCTTCCACTAGTAACTGAGAGACGAGAGACCCTGAAAGGCCTTGAATTCCTTTTTCACTAAGGCTGTTCCTGATGGGAGAGCTTCAGCAACATCTTGGATAGCAAACCTTCTACTGACCATTATATTGACTATAATAACAAAAGAATGAAGACAAATTCACATTCTAAGGAAGACTCCAGACCACTTTCCACAATATTTTCCACACAGTAGGAAACTATTTTCAAGAAGGTAACCCCTACTCATCATCAAGAATCAATTTGTTCAGCTCTATGATAATATTTTCAATGAATCAGTAAGACAATCAATAATATGTTTTCTTTTGTTTCTTCTGAAATCCCTTTATTGTATAAGAAATTAATGGTATAATTTAAAAAGCAAGGATTTTGAAAATTGAAAAAATTAAATTGGATCTTTGTCTTACACTATACATAAAAATCTACTTAAAGTTGATTAAAGACTTAAACTTAACACCCAAACCATAAAACCCCTAGAGGAAAACATGGGGAAAATGCTTCATTAGTTTTGACAATGATTTCTTGGTTATGACACCAAAAGCACAGGCAACAAAAGCAAAAATAGACAAGTGGGACCTATGTCAAAAAAAGCTTCTGTGCAGCAAAGAAAACAATTAACAGAGTGAAAAGGAAACCTACAGAATGGGAGAAAATATTTTCAAACCATATGTTTGATAAGGAGTTAATATCCAAAACATATAAGGAATTTCTACAACTCAATAGCAATGAACAAACACACAAAGCAGACAAACAAAACCCCAGTATAACCTGATTAAAAAATAGGCAAAAGACTTGAATAGACATTTTTCCAAATAAGACATACAAATGGCCAACAGGTATGTGAAAAGATGCTCACCATCTCCAATCATCAGGGAAATGCAAATCAAAACCACAATGAGATATCACTTTATAATTGTTAAGATGGCTATTACCCAAACCAGAAAATAACAAGTCTTAGTGAGGAGGTGGAGAAGTGGAAATTTATGAGCACGGTTGGTCAGGATGTAAGATGATGTAGCCACTGTAGAAAACAGTATGGGGGTTTCTCAAAAAATTAAAAATAGAACTACCATCTGATCTAGCAATACCACTTCTGGGTATTTATCCAAAAGAACTGGAAATAGGATAAATAGGATATAGAAGAGATTATTTGCAGTTGGATGTTCATTGTAGCATTATTTGCATTATTCACATCATTCAAAAGATAGAAACAACATAAATGTCCATTAATGGATGAATGGATAAAGAAAATGTGGTATAGTATGATCTCACTTATATGTAGAATCTAAAAATGTTGAACTCATAGAAATAGAAAGTACAATGGTGATTGCAGAGGCTGGTCAGGGATGGGGATAGACAGAAAAAAGAAAAACATTGGTCAAAGGGTACAAAGTTCCAATCTGATAAGAGGAATAAATTTTGGTGATCTATTGCACAGCATGGTGACTATAGTTAATAATAACATATTTAAAAACAACTAAATGAGAGGATTTTCAATTTCTTACCACAAAGAAATGATAAATATTTGAGGTAATGGATATGCTAATTTGCTGAATTTGATCATTCCACAAAGTATACATGTATCAAAACACTACATTGTACCTGATAAATATATACTATTATTACCTGTCAATTAAATATATAATAAAAAAGGAAAACGATATATGTGTAGATATTATGGAATATTCAATTTTTTAAAAGAAAGAAATCTTTCATATGGTACAACATAGATGAACCTTGAGGACTTTATGATAAATGAAATAAGCCAGCCACAGAGTACAAATACTGTATGATTCCACTTAAATAAGGTATAGAAAGTAAACTCATAGAAGCAGAAAGTAGTCAGAGGTTGCGGGGAGAGAGAAATGAAAAGTTGCTCTTCAATGACTATAGAGTTTCAGATAAGAAGAAAAAGTTCTAGAGATCTGTTCCATAATAATGTGTATATAATTAACAGTAATTAGCAATAATGTGTATATAATTAACTGTACACATAAAATTTTGTTGCTTAGTAATAGTTGCAATAGAATAAAGGAAAACATCATAAATCACGTTCAGCACATGTATCCCAGAACTTAAAGTAAAAAAACAAAACAAAACAATAAATCAGATTAGAAATAAAAAAAAGAAAACATCATATAAAATGTTGTGAGACCACATAGTTTTGGTTAAAAGCATGGACTATCTAGCTAGAATGTCTGGGTTTGAATCCCCAAATAGCTGTGTGATCTTGGGCAGGAAACTCATCCTCGTGCTTTATTTTCCTTCTCTGTATTTGAAGATAATAATAGTATTTACTTCATATTTTTTGGTAACAATTAAATAATTTAAAATATGAAAAGTGCTTAGAACAGTGTCTGGAACATAGTATTACATATTTTAGCTATTATCAGAATTAAGAATAAATTTTTACTTTTTACTTTCAAAATTACCAGAAAAACCTCCAAATTAATACAGGTGTTTTTTCTTATCCAACCTAGAATATCACATTTGAGATTTAACCCCTTTGGTGTCAATCTGGCTTTGTTTTGGGTTTATGTACTGAAAAATACTATTTTGTACATAATGATTCTTTGAATATACTTAACAATCCCTACTAAATTATAATGAGTAGAGGCAGTGCTAGAACCTATTTTGATATTTTGTGCCAAAGTCCGTGACTCTTAAAATTAAATAGCTTCAGCTCACAAAATTTTCAGTTCTTATATCTTTATTCCACAAACCTCCATCATCCTCCTACTGTAATAATAGAGGAAAAGGCAGTAGAAAACATGCAGTAGAAAAGCCACTTAGGTGCTCTTTCTCAGACAAGATCCTGCCAGAACTTGGAGAGAAAGGGCATGTGCCATAGAGGTTGGGCCCTGAAGGCTGTAATATACCGTAACTCTGGGACTGAAGTGTGTCTGAGAGAATCTCACCACATATAGCCTCCACAAGCGTGACCAAATTGAGCTTTGGGGTTAACACAAGTTAGAAGGTAGCAGTGATTCACCCAGGCTTAGGAGCACTTGAATTGGGCTGAACTTAAGGAGGCAGAGTTATAAAAGCATGTGACAGCTCCTGTAGCGGCAGCAGGGAACAGCCACCGAGGCTTTAGAGTGCCTACATGCATTCTCTCTTTACCACCCTAAAATTATCCAGATTATTTTCCATTGAAATAATAAATTCTACTCCCCTGTGTGTGCATGTGCAACTTGCAGCATTCTGATCGGTATTTCATTTCGTCAGCCTAAAGGGCAAGGTAACTGGTTTGTCAAAGAGGCTATAAATATGTCATATTTAACATTTTCAACAACAAAAAGATATTTATTGAGCACTTACTGGATTCTATGTGTTAAAAATGTGATTCATTAATGTAGAAGTTGGTAGCATATTTTATGCTATTCATAAGAAAATACAGATCTTTCAATATAAAAAATGGGCAACTATAAGGAGTTAATAAAGATGTAGTCATACTGAATGCTTTACATTTTTCACTATGAGTCATTCATATATTTTCTACTGCTTGAATATTCCATGTCTTAAATCTAAATAAGTGGCCCTCTCGGGATCTAGAATGACTTTTTAAAACATAAAAACAATTTTATTCCTACCCTAACAACCCACTTGAACAATTTTGAGTTGGCTGCAGTAGCAAATGAAGATCAGTACAGTGCATTATAAAGGGACACAAAAGTGCTGGGAAACAGAGCCTGAGATAGAGCCTCCTTTCTTATCACTATAAAATTCTGGTCAAATAAGATACTCAGCATCCTTCAGCTGTAGAAAAGAGATAATCATTCTACCTTTTCAGGGTTCTTGCAGATATTGAATGAGATAATATTTAAGGCCATAATTTGGAAAATACAATGTGCTTATACAAATGTTAGATGTTATTATGTGCTTCTTTTGGATGCCTATATATACTCAAGAGACTATATAGAAGAAATGAAAATAAAATGAAATTTCCAATTCATTAAGGCAGTGCATAGTGGCTGCTTTAATGTCTACTAAAATTAGATCTCTAATTATACAGATTAATTCTCCATGATGATCAAATGAACTAGGAATTTTTATCATGAATGTATTGCAATAAAGTTATACTAAGAAAAATGTAACCAACCACATCATTAAAACAGAAAGAATTCAGCAAATTGCCTGGTCTCTGGAGGGATAGACATTCTCTTTTCTTTTAATTTAGACTCATTCAATGTTTCTAAGAGAAATTTTCTGGCCAATGCAAATCTGGAAGACTGGGAACGGCCTTTTTTAACAGTGCAAGTACTATCATATCCTATAAAAACACAAGTTTTTAAAAAATTGTCATATTTTGCCAATCTTTCCCCACTCTGGAGCTGTCTTTTTTTTTTTTTTTTAAAGTCAAGCACAATGTATTAAATCCAAAGTGTGAAAGGAAAATCAGTTTATTGTTAAATTTGATAAAACTTTGATAGTGACAGGCAACATTAAATATATTTAATCATCCCTAAAGCATGAGTTGAATTTTCTGGTGCTTTGTTGAGAGTTTTTACAAGGAATCTGTTCAATTAAGAAATATGATTACTGCTTAGTAACATAAAAAATACTTATCTGAAATACTGAGGGCACAATTAGTGTTTGGAACTGGATATTTGCATACCTACCTGAGAGGCATGGGAAATCTCTGTGTCTTTCTTCTGTACTGGAGGTTTTCCATCTGCAGTCATTTCAATCATACAAACAACTCCAGGGCTGCCAACAGGCGTTGTGTAGCTAAACGTAAAACAGAAGAGGCCATTATGATATGTGTTTTTGGCAAGAAAGGAGTAACTTCACACATGGATAGTAAGTACTTCTTCATTGAGAGAGGTACTTTCTGGATCACAACAATCCTGAAATATGGACCCAGCCAAGTGTGGACATTTTCAAGTAGATAAAAGATGTATTTCTTTTCTAACACTGCGTTTTATTTTCCTTCTCTCCTACTGACTTTAAAATTGGACATGGAATGCTTTCAGAAAGTTAAACCTCCCACAAAATAAAAAGAGCTTCATGTGTATAAGTAGATATTGACAAATTTTAAGTGCTAACTGTGGTTGACATATGGTCTCCCTCATGTAGGAGATTGTTGGACCAGTAACATCAATGTTAAATGATGCTAAACTCCCTAGGTAGAATTTCCCCTCCCTGGCCTACAGGGAAATTGAAATGGAATAAGAAATGAAAGGCTGCATACCCCTGAGCAGAGAGATTACACTGTGATACAGTTATCAGAACTCAGAAAGCATGCCGCTAATGTATCGGCTGGTACTGTATCTCAGAGATAAAAGCATAAGGTTAAGGGAGTTTGTAGAATGAATAGCAAAAATGGTGAATACACAACTGAAAATTTATCAGAGTTTATAGAATGATGCAATCATATGAAAAGGTACATATACTAAGGTACTTGGCATATTTTTTAAGCAGCTTATTTAGAGTTTTAAAGAAAATTCAAACAATATTACCCTGGCACCTGCCATATTGTATCAACAGTAACTTGCACTGTTATAAAGTTTATTTCGTAGGGACAATACAAATATGTTCGCTGATATTAACAGTGGCTGTTTCTGCATACTGAGAGTGTGGGTGATTTCATTTCTCATTTTTGCTTATTTGTATTTTTTAAATTTTGGACAACGATCAGACTTATTTTTTATTTTTTATTTCGATCAGACCTTCTTGTTTGCCTGGGACTGAGGAGTTTCCCAAGACATGGGACTTTTTTTTTTTTTTTTTTTTTTTTTTTTTTTTTTTTTTTTTTAGACAGAGTCTCGCTCTGTCGCCCAGGCTGGAGTGCAGTGGCGCGATCTCGGCTCACGGCAAGCTCTGCCTCCCGGGTTCATGCCATTCTCCTGTCTCAGCCTCCCGAGTAGCTGGGACTACAGGCGCCCGCCACCACGCCAGGCTAATTTTTTTTTGTATTTTTAGTAGAGATGGAAACCAGTGTGAGCCAGGATGGTCTCGATCTCCTGACCTCGTGATCCATCCCCCCTCCCAACCTCGGCCTCCCAAAGTGCTAGGATTACAGGCGTGAGCCACCGAGCCCGGCAGGACTTTTAGTTTTAAAACCAGAGAAGTTCCTGGAAGACCTGGAGAAGTTGGTCATTTTATTTTTAAAACAAAAAGTCAATTTTATTAAACAATTATTGGTTAAATAACTTAGTAATATTTTTTCTTAAAATAACTTTGTTGACTTAGTTGAATGAAAAAACAAAAAACAAACCCTAAGCTTCCTCTTTCCCTTACCCCTCTTAAAGGCGCAACTGTGGGCTGGTTCCTTCTCCTTGCCTACTAGGTAATAAGAATCTGATATGATCCTTCCAGTAAATTATTCCACGGCTGTTTTGGCTTCCACTTTAGCTTACCAAGGTCATTTCTAATTCTGATCAGGTCACTGTTAAAAATTCTTGAATTCTGGCCAGGCGCGGTGGCTCAGGCCTGTAATGCCAGCACTTTGGGAGGCCACCCTTAGGTGCTCTTTCTCAGACAAGATCCTGCCAAATTGTGTCATAAGAAACAAAAAAAACTCTATAAACAAATGAGATATTATGTCACATAAATCATTTGAGGAAAAGCCTAAGAGCATATCCCTTATGCCTCTCAAGTATTGCTGAGGCCAGCCTAGTCTAATGATTTAAAGACTTAAGGATCATATTCTGAGATAATCCGTTGACTGGCTGAGTGATCTTAGGCAAACCACTTAACCTTTCTTCCCTGAAGTGTGATTATGTACAGAAGGGAGATAATCATTCTAAGCTCATAAATGGTTAGTGAGAATCACATTATTTAATGTACATAAATCATTCAGTGCTAATATTAAAATCCAAGTTAAAGCAATTATTTGCTGACTAGACAGGGATCTCTAAGGAGATTTTTGTAAAAATAAATTACACAGTCAAGTTGAATTGTTCATCCACTTCTACTAATATTGCTCATAATGGAATTCAAAATCAAATACTCAAGTTGCGTTATTTTAAAAACTGAAACTCAATGCAACCGACTTTTTTTTTCAGTGTCCTTAACATTTTTGCACTTTAGATTTATAATTTTTAGGTATGCTTAGCAATATTGGTGGAAACATTCTGATTTGGAAAAGACAATTTATTTGTAGATTTTTAGAAGACCTGCCCAAATGGAAGTTCAGGTTATCTAAAACAAATGAAAAGGCTGCAAAAAGGTAAAAAAAGAAGAGTTCATTGCTTAATTAATTAAATCAAGTAATTTAAATAATTCATCCAGCTCTTAAACAAGAGTTATAGAATAATAGTAACACAGAAAGATATTTGCGTGAAATAGAAAAAGGGATACATGTAATTTACATTACATAATATAATTTTAATAAAAATATGCATAGGATAATACCAGAGCTACTTTTACTAATATCAACAGTGGCTATCTCTGTATCCTGGTGATATGGGAGGCAGGCAGGGAAGTGCTGGGTAGAGAAGGGCAGGGTCCCTGGCAAGGGCTCCACCCTTTGGCCTGTGCCTGAGAAACTAAATGAGAATAGGCACTCATGTTTTCATGCACAAATGTTGCATTTTCCAAGACCACTCTGGCTCACCATGTCCCCTATCCTATGCCCATATAAACCTGAGACATTAGCAGGCACACACAGAATCAGCTGATTGTCGACACCAGCAGACTAGCAGACCAGCCACGGTGGAACAATGTAGCAGAGAAAGAGAGAATAGGAGGGATGTCTGGATGCCAAGGGGAGTTTGGCTGGGGGCTGTCAGAGAAGAGTCCAGCCCCTGGGTGGCCCAACTCCAGGGGAAGACCATCTTCCCACTCCATCCCCTCTTTCAGCTCCCATCCGTCTTGCTGAGAGCCACCTCCACCACTCAATAAAACCTTGCACTCTTCCTTTGAGCCTGTGTATGATCTGATTCTTCTGGGACACTGGGCAAGAGCTCAGGATACAGAAGGCTGTCACACTGGCCCCCTGCCCTTGCAGTAAAGCAGAGGGCCCACTGAGCTGATTAACACACAAGCCATCCACAGATAGCAAAGCTAAAGGAGCACACTGTAACACATGCCCACTTGGGTTTCGGGAGTCACAGACTCCCACCCCTAGATGCTACCGCAGGGCCAAGAGCCCAAAGCACTCACCCTAGCCTCTGTACCTGCCCATCTGCATGCTACTTCTAGGGGTTTGAGCTGCAGGGTGACCAAACAGGGGAGGCACATCCCTGTCACATGTCCTGTGAGGGGAATCTGGGAACTTTCCTGCTTCAGTGGGAATGAAGATGATTTTGTGTGTGTGTATATAGAGATAGGGTCCCACTATGTTGCCCAGGCGGGTCTTGAACTCCTGGGCTTAAGTGATCCTCCTGCCTTTCCCTCCCAAAGAGCTGGGATTATAGGCATGAGCCTCTGCGCCTGGCCTGAGGATGATTTTTAAATTGTGTCTTTTGCTTATTTGTATTTTCTAAATTTTGGACACTGAACATATGTTTTTTAATCTTATCTCTTAAGACAAAAATTCAGCTTTCATTAAAAAACAAGAATTAAAGAATTTTCCAATATTTTTCTGTTGTTTCCTGGATTCCATGCCTTCCTTTCAGGTTCACCTATATACATAATAGCCAAGATTTGGAAGTAACCTAAGTGTTCATCAATAGATGAATGGATAAAGAAAATGTGGTAGATATACACAATGGAGTACTGTTCAGCCATAAAATAGAATGAGATCCTGTCATTTGCAACAACATGGATGGAACTGGAGGTCATTATGTTAAGTAAAATAAACCAGGCATAGAAAGACAAACTTTCTCACTTGTTTGTGGGAGCTAAAATTTAAAACAACTGAACTCATGAAGATAGATAGAATGGTTACCAGAGGCTGAGAAGTGTAGTAGGGGTCTGGGGGGTTGGAACGATTGTTACTGGGTACAAAAATATAGTTAGAATGAATAAGATCTACTATTTGATAGCACAATAGGGTGACTATAGTCAATAACAACTTAATTGTATGCTTTAAAATAAATAATATGATTGGATTAATTTGTAACACAAAGGATACATGCTTATGTTGATGGATACCCCATTTAAACTGATGTGATTTACACATTGTGTATCTGTGTCAAAACATCCCATATACCCCATAAATATAGACATCCACTATGGACCCACAAAACTTAAAAATTAAAAAAAAATTCCTCAAACTTTGGAAAATTTTTACCTGAATCATCTTGAATATTGCTTTTTGGTATTCTCTGAATGATATGGTTTGGCTGTGTTTCCACACAAATCCCATCTTGAATTGTAGTTCCCATAATCCCCACATGTCATGGGAGGAACCCAGTAGGAGGTAATTGAATCATGGAGGTGGTTACCTCCATGCTGTTCTTGTGATAGTGAGTCAGTTCTCATGAGATCTGATAGTTTATAAAGGGCTTTTCCCCCTCTTTGCTCTTCACTTCTCCTTCCTGCCATCACATGAAGAAGGACATGTTTGCTTCCCCTTCTGCCATAATTGTAAATTTCCTGAGGCCTCCCCAGCCATGCCGAACTGTGAGTCAATTAAACCTCTTTCCTCTATAAATTAGACAGTCTGGGACAGTCCTTTATAGCAGCATGAGAATGGACTAATACACAGAACACTGAAATCTCTACTTGTAGAACTTATGTTAGACATTTTTTGGAAGCCTGTTAAGCAGTCCTCTAAATTTCTTAATCTCGCTTTTACTCTTAAAAAAATCTTCCCTTATTTTTTTCTGTCTGACATTCTTCTTAGGTATCATTTTTTTCTTCAACTGTTTTTAGACTAGAGTTTATCCTATCTACTGAGTTTTAAATGTCTATGAATTTTTTTATTCTCAAGGTTTTGAATATATTTCTTTTTTGTGTTTTATTTCTGCCTGTTATGCTTTTATAACTTTTCCCCATATTTTAACTAATATTTTAATATACTTTCTTATAAAATGTTATTTTTATTGGAAAATATTGGAATTCAGTTTCCACTCTTTAAATAAGGAGCAATAAGTATTATCAAAGTTTGAATCACTTTTTTTTTTTAACTTTTATTTTAGGTTCAGGGGTACCTGTTGCAGTTTGTTATATAAGTAAATTGTGTGTCATGATGTATAGATTATTTCATCACCCAGGTAGTAAGCATAGTACTGTTAGGTAGTCTTTTTGACTGTCATCATCCTCCCACCCTCCACCCTCAAGTAGGCTCCAGTGTCCGTTGTTGCCTTCTTTGTGTTCCCTTTGAGCTAAGCACTTAATATTTACCTCCCACTTGTAAACGAGATTGTGTGGTATTTGGTTTTCTGATCCTGCATTAGTTCACTTAGGATAATGGCCTCCAACTCCATCCATTTTGCTGCAAAAGACATGATCTCCTTTTTTATGGTTGTGTAGTATTCCATGGTATCTATTTACCACATTTTCTTTATCCAGTCTACCACTGATATGCATTTAGGTTGATTCCATGCCTTTCCTATTGTGAATAGTGCTGTGATGAACATATGGGTGCATATGTCTTTTTGGCAGAACAATCTATATGCCTTTGGGGATGTATCCAATAATGCGATTACTGGGTCGAATGGTAATTCTGTTTTAAGTTCTTTGGGAAATTGCCAAACTTCTTTCCACAATGGCTGAACTAACTTACATTCCCTGCAGCAGTGTATAAGAGTTCCTGTTTCTCCACAACCTTGCCAGCATCTGTAATTTTTTGACTTTTTAATAATAGCCATTCTGACTAGTGTGAGATGGTATCTCCTTGTGGTTTTGATTTGCATTTCTATAATAATTAGTGATGTTGAACTTTGTTTTATATGCTTTCGGCCACAAGTATGTCTTCTTTTGAAAAGTGTCTGTTAAGTTCTGTTAAGTTCTTTGCCCACTTTTTAGTGAGGTTTTTTGTTTTTTGCTTGTTAACTTAAGTTCCTTACTGAATCTGTATATTAGATCTTTGTCAGATGCATAGTTTGAAATATTTTCTTCTATCTTACAGGTTGTCTGTTTACTCTGTTGCTAGTTTCCTTTGCTTTGCAGAAGCTCTTTAGTTTAATTAGGTCTTATTTGTCAAGTTTTGTTTCGGATGCTATTGCTTTTGGTGTCTTTGTCATGAAATCTTTGCCAGGGCCTATATTTAGAATGGTATTTCCTACATTATCTTCCAGAGTTTTTATAGTTTTGGGTTTTACATTTAAGTCTTTAATCCATCGTGAGTTGACTTTTATACATAGTGTAAGAAAGGGCTGTAGTTTCAATCTTCTGCATATGGCTAGCCAGGTATCCCTGCACCATTTATTGAATAGGGAGTCCTTTCCCATTGCTTTTTTTGTTAACTTTATTGAAGATCAGATAGTTGTAGGTGTATGGCATTACTTCTGGGCTCTCTATTCTGTTCCATTGGTCTTTGTGTCTGTTTTTTTGTACAAGTACCATGCTGTTTTGGTTACTCTAGGCTTGTAGTATAGTTTGAAGTTGGGTAACATAAAACTTCCAGCTTTGCACTTTTTGCTTTGGATTGCCGTGGTTATCCTGGCTCTTTATCGGTTCCATATGAATTTTAAAATAGTTTTTTCTAATTCTGTGAAGAATGTCATTTGTAGTTTGATAGAAATAGAATTGAATCTGTAAATTGCTTTGGGCAGTATGGCCATATTAGCAATATTGATTCTTCTTAATCATGAGCATTGGTATGATTTACCATTTGTTTGGGTCATCTCCAATTCCTTTCAGCAGTGTTTGTAATTCTCCTTGTAGGGATCTTTTACCTCACTGGTTAGCTGTATTCTTAGATATTACTCTCTCTGTGGGTCTTGTGAATAGGATTGCATTATTGATTTGGCTTTCAGCTTGGATGTTTTTGGTGTATAGAAATGCTACTGATTTTTTTATGTGGATTTTTTTTATCCTGAAACTGCTGAAATTGTTTATCAGTTCTAGAAGCAGAGACTCCTAGGAGCAGATATTTTGGGCAGAGACTATGGTGTGTTCTAGGTATAGAATCAATTGTCTGCAGAGAGAGAGAGTTTGACTTCCTCTTTTCTTACTTGGATGACTTTTATTTCTTACTCTTGCCTGATTGCTCTGGCTAAGACTTCCAGTACTATGTTGGATGAAAGTGGTAAGAGTGGACATCCTTTTCTTGTTCTAGTTCTCAAGGGGAATGCTTCCATCTGGTGCCTATTCAGTATGATGTTGGCTGTGGATTTGTTATCAATGGCTCTTATTATTTTGAAGTATGTTTCTTCAATGCCTAAATGCCTAGTTTATTGAGGGTTTTTGACATGAAATGATGTTGAATTTTATCGAAAGCCTTTTCTGCATCTATTGAGATAATCACGTGGTTTTTGTCTTTAGTTCTATATGATAAATCCCATTTATTGATTTGCATATGTTTATGCAAATATTTCATCCCAAGGATAGAGCCTACTTGGTCATGGTGGATAAGCTTTGTGATGTGCTGCTGGATTTGGTTTGCCCATATTTTGCTGAGAATTTTTGCATTGATGTTCATCGAAGATATTGGCCTGAAGTTTTCTGTTTTTGTTGCTGTGTCTCTGCTGGGTTTTGATATCAGGATGATGCTTAACTCATAGAATGAATTAAGGAGGAGTCCCTCATCCTCAACTTTTTGGAATAGTTTCAGTAGGAACAGTACCAGCTCTTATTTATATTTCTGATATAATTTGTCTGTGAATCTATTTAGTACTGGGCTATTTCTGGTTGTTAGGCTTTCTATTACTGATTCAACTTTGAAACACATTATTGGTCTGTTCAAGGATTCAATTTTTTCTTGGTCCAATCTTGTGAGATATGTGTATCCAGGAATTTATTCATTTCTTCTAGGTTTTCTAGTTTGTGTGCATAGTGGTGTTTGAAGTAGTCTCTGAGGTTTTTTGTTTTTCTGTGGGGTTGGTGGTAATGTCCCCTTTGTTATCTCTGATTGTGTTTGAGTCTTTTTTTTTTTAATTTCAATTAGCCTACCTAGCAGTCTGTCAATCTTATTTATTCTTTTAAAAAAGAAACACATAGGTTTTTTGATCTTTTGTGTGTTTTTTTACATCTCAATTTCCTTCAGTTCAGTTCTGATTTTGATTATTTCTTGTCTTCTGCTAGCTTTGTGGTTGGTTTGCTCTTATTTCTCCAGTTCCTCTAGATGTGGTGTTAAGTTGTTAATTTGAGATCTAACTTTTTGATATGGGCATTTAGCACTATAACTTTCCCTCTTATCACTGCTTTAGCTGTGCCCCAGGAATTCTTGTATGTTGTATCTTTATTCATATTATTTTCAAAGAATTTATTGATTTCTGCCTTAATTTCATTGTTTACCCAAAAGTCATTCAGGATCAGGTTGTTTAATTTCCATGTGATTGTATGATTTTCATCATTTTTCTTAGCATTGATTTCTATTTTTATTGCACTGTGGTCTAATAGTACGGTTGGTATGGTTTTGGTTGTTTAAATTTGCTGAGGATTGTTTTATGGCCAATTTTGTCATTTATTTTAGAGCAGGCACAACACACAGATGAGAAGAATGCATATTCTGTTGTTTTTGAGTGGAGATATCTGTTAGGTCCATTTGGTCAAGTGTCAAATTCAGGTCCTGAATATCTTTGTCAGTTTTCTGCTTCAGTGATCTGTCTAATACTCTCAGTGGGGTGTTTAAATCTCCCACTATTGTTGTATGGTTATCTAAAATTCTTCATAGGTCTCTAAGAACTTGCTTGATGAATCTGGGTCCTGTGATAGGTGCATATATATTTAGAATGATTAGGTCTTTTTTTCGAATTGAACCCTTTACCATTATGTAATAAGTTTATTTATCTTTTTTGATCATTATTGGCTTGAAGTCTGTTTTGTCTGAAATTAGAATAGCTACCCCTGCTGTTTTCCATTTTCTGTTTGCTTAGTAGATTTTTCCCTCTCTCTTGACTTTAAGCTTATGGGTGTCCTTGCATATGAGGTGGTTCTCTTGAATATTTGAATCTTGTTTCTTTATCCAACTTGCTACTGTATGCCCTTTAATTGAGGCATTTAGCCTGTTTACATTCAAGATTAATTTTGACATGTGCAGATTTGATCCTGTCATCATGTTGTTAGTTGATTATCATGCAGACTTGATTGTGTGGTTGCTTTATGGTGTCAATGGTCTATGTGCTTAATTGTGTTTTTGTAGTGGCTAGTAGTAGTCTTTCCTTTCCATATTTAGCACTTCCTTAAGGATTTCTTGCAATGCATGTCTGGTGGTAATGAATTCTCTTAGCATTTGCTTGTCTGAAAAGGATCTTATTTCTTCTTTGCTTTTAAACTTAGTTTAACTGAGTGTGAAATTCATGGTTGGAAGTTATTTTCTTTAAGAATGGTGAATATAGGCCCCCAATCTCTTCTTGCTTTTAGGGTTTCTGCTGAAAGGTCTGCTGTTAGCCTGATGGGGTTCCCTTTGTAGGTGACCTGCCCCTTCTCTCTAGCTGCCTTTAACACACTTTTAATGTATTTCAACCTTGGAGAATCTGACGACTATGTGTTTTGAGCATGGTCATCTTGTATAGTATCTAACAGGTGTTCTCTGCATTTCCTGAATTTGAATGTTGGCCTCTCTAGTGAGGTTGAGGAAATTTTCATGAATGATACCCTGAAATGTTTTCCATGTTGCTTGCTTTCTCTCCTGCTCTTTCAGGGATGCCAATGAGTTGTAGATTTGGTCTTTACCTAATCTCATTTCTTGGAGGTTTATTCATTTATTCATTTTTTATTCATTTTTCTTTATTTTTGTCTGACTGAGTTATTTTGAAGAACTGGTCTTCGAGCTCTGAGATTCTTTCCTCCGCTTGGTCAATTCTGCTGTTAATTTGTGTTAGGAAATTCTCGATTTTTTTTTTTTTTTGGAGACGGAGTCTCACTCTGTCACCCAGGCTGGAGTGCAGTGGCGTGATCTCGGCTCACTGCAAGCTCCGCCCCCCAGGTTCATGCCATTCTCCTGCCTCAGCCTCCCGAGTAGTTGGGACTACAGGCACCCACCACCACGCAAGGCTAATTTTTTTGTATTTTCAGTAGAGATGGGGTTTCACCGGGTTAGCCAGGATGGTCTCAATCTCTTGACCTCGTGATCTGCCCACCTCGGCCTCCGAAAGTGCTGGGATTACAAGCGCGAGCCACTTCTCCCGGCCAGCTTGGTTCTTTCTTAAAATGACCATTTCATCTTTCATCTCCTGTATCTTTTTATTGTACTCCTTAGATTCTTTAGATTTTTTGACTTTGTTCTGAATCTTGATGATCTTTGTTCCTATCCGTATTCTGAATTCAATTTTGTCATTTCAGCCATTTAGGCCTGATTAAGTACCATTGCTGGAAAACCAGTTCAGTTTTTGGAGGTAAAAAGGCACTCTGGTTTTTTGAGTTGCCAGAGTTCTTGCGCTTGTTCTTTCTCATCTATATGGGTTGATATTCTTTCAGTCTTTGAAGTTGCTATCCTTTGGATGTGTTTTTGGTTTGTTTGTTTGTTTTTGCTTTTATCTTCTTTGATTTCCTTGGGGGTTTGATTGTGGTACAAAGTGGGTTCAGTTAACTGGCTTCATTTCTGGAAGGTTTTAGGGGGCCAGTGCTCAGCTCAGCACTCCTGGGCTGTGTGCTCTAACTCTGGGGGGTGGGGCTGGTACCAGACTCCTGGCTTTTTCTCTCTGGCCCCTTGAGGTTATGAACCTGCTGTGCTGGCAGGGCTGAGATATTTCCAGTCCGCTGGCCAGAACGCTCCGGTGAAGGGGAGCTGGCCAAAGCACTGCGTCGGGGTGGCAGCAGCAGGATCTGTGCTCAGTTGCACATGCCTGCACCGTGGCAGAGTACTGGCGAGACTGGGGATGCGGTGCTCCTGCTCTGACAGTGGTGGTGGTGTGGCAGGGGCAGGGTGTTGGCAGGTGCAGGGCTTCCAGCCTCCATGTGTGCATTTGCACTGGTGGCATTGGCTGTGTGTGTGTTTGGTTGGGGGGGGGGGTGGTGGTGTGGAGAGAAGGGGGACAGGGCTGTGGCCTGTAATTTCTCTTTTTAAATAGTAAAATTATTCCTTCATTTATGCTTTCTAGTGTTTTAAAAATACTTTAGAGTTTTTTCAGGCCCTTTCATAAAAATTGTCTTATCTAGAATGATTCCTGTTCCATTGTTGGTTTTCTTGGTTCCTTTTCCAGTATCTTTATGGGTTCTGATATTGTACTGTGCAGGCCCATTTTGAATGGGAGGTATGTTTCTTTTTCTCTCTTTTTGTGTACTCCCATTCTTCATGTCCTGTGTTCTTCTGCTGTGCCCAACCCTACCTGCTGAATGAGAAACGTACCTGATCTTTTGACACTGAAACCGGAATCTTCGCTAAAAGGTATTTGGTAGTTCTGTCCTACAATGATACTGGAAATATTCACAGGTCCATTCACAGAGCTGACAGACTGCTTGGCATAATTCAGGTCATGATACTTTGATTGCATTCTGTTCTCTTCCTGGGCTGGCAGCTTGCTAAAAGTCAGAATTCCAGATGGCAGCCTTTCTCTTTTTCTGAGTATATATATATGAATATATTTATATTCCCTTATATATTTTATTTATCTTTATAAACCTATATCTATATCAGATCTTTCACAAATCTTTTTGAGCAAATAGTTTTAGTTCCTTTTACCTTACAGGAGATAAGCTTTTCTATTTCTAGATTTATATCTTAGCAAGTATGTACTCTTACCTTCTTTGCTGCTTTGCATATTTGTCTATTTCTTGTCTAAAGATATGTTTGTCTTGTTTTTGAACTTGCCTTCATGTTTTCAGTTTTCTTCCTTTATTTTTTCTATCACTGCTAGCACATAAAAGTGTGAAGTTACAGAGTCATCTTGACCCGAAATCCCCCATTTTCTTTTTTTATTATGAGAAAACACAAAAATGAAAGATCAAACTAAGTTCTTGCCTTTGAAGGGACATGTACATAGAAAATTGTCTTTAATTTGTGAGAGGTAGGATGAAAAAAAAGTTAACCAAGCCATTTGGAAGTGCCTTCATGATTTTGCAGTCTTTAAATTTGGAAGGACTAATTTCTTTGGCTTTTCTATCTCAGGTTTGTTTTGTGCTATAGGCATTTGAATGCATCTGTCTCATATTTTTTTTTCCAGTGGTATATTTCAAAAGCACATAAGTAAAGTAGTTTGTTTTTTTTTTTTCCAGAGAGAAATAGAACGTATGGATTTTTTTTTCTTTTTAAGGTACCTATGTTTTATTTGTCAAATCTGGTGGTTATATGAGTTATTGGCATCAAACCATAATGAAATTAAATGCTTTAAAGCAGTATCTCATTGCTGGGCTGAAGGTGTGTGAAACCTAGTTCATGTATAATTGCAGCATGAAGCCATGATGTAACAGTAAGAAAACTGAACAGCACCAACTGCTTCTAGGGAATACTGCAAAATTGATGATGATACTGAATGCTTTCACAGGTGCAAAACATAAATGTTCTTTTCTCTTGTCTTTAGGCTTGGCAATTACCCAACAATAACACTGGCTTGTTTATTTTAGATTTTGGGCATGCATTAACATTGCTAATAAGTTTTTCCTCTCCTCTCCTCTCCTCTCCTCTCCTCTCCTCTCCTCTCCTCTTGTCCCCTCACCCCCTCCCCTCCTTTCCTTTCTTTCCTTTCATTTTCTTAGTTAAATGTTAAAAATGAATGCAAAAATGTCTATCTTCCAGATTTTAATTATTTCCAGATTAATAACTTGAATTTCTGACCAATAATAGTTTGCCTTAATGTATACTGAATAAATGTAAGTCTATTGCTCTGAAGTGAATAGTAGCATATGAATTAAGCATTAACTCAGAACTTTTATTTAAAAGAATCTTCTTAGGCTACATTTAAGATAGAAAGAGGGTAAGTTCAGTTGTTAGCAACTATGATCTCCATGCTCAGCCAGAAGTTTTAGCTGACTAGTGACAGCTCTACATGAGAATAGCTGGGATGGGAGACTCAGAGCCCAGAGACTCAGTATCAGCAGATGGCAGTAAAGGTACATGGCAGAGATGGAGGCACTGAAAGGAATCTGATCCCTACAAAGACTAACTTAAGATCTAATTGATAGCATTATTGTTTTACCTCCCTGTTTGTAACAGGGAAACATGGAAAATATATTTCAAAAATTAGACATTAGGCAGTATGGGTGAAACTGTCCAGAGACATACAGCTTTCCTTACCACTTCACTTATCCAGTGTGATTGTCATGGCTGGGTAAGCAAATTTAAGGAAATGCTGTTTCCTAAAAGTGGGATGGTTTTCATACAGCCCTATCAACACAGCCATATTTCTTGACATTGTCTGTGCAACTCAGCACAAAATAAATGTTAAACAGTATAAAAAAAGGATCACGCATAAAAGCCACAGTGTCAGGACTTTTGTCTAGCAAAAGCAATATAAACACACTGTTTTTAAAAAGCATCCTGTTTTTGCTTAGATCGTCACAGAGTTGGCCAGCCTGACAGTACAAAGAGCTTTGTATAAAAAGCGCTCCATGACCTCTAATAAGTGATTTTTCTGAGCACTTCCTGCCTCTGGATGATAGTCATGTGGCGGTCACTAGTTTTAGATTATATTAGTTAGACTTCTCTCTGACAAAACAGCCCAAATACACTTTATAATAAATTACAGAGAAAACCAAGCCATTTTCCTGTGATGTACTGATATTAAAAAAGGATCTGTGATGATTCCTGAGGACCACTGAAGCAGAAACTTCACTTACTCCCTTGATTAAACAGAGCAGTCGTCAAGGGAACATACAACCAGCCATCACGAGATACTGGAGATTTTCCAAGAACTGTGATTTTCTTTCCGACTACGCTATCCAATTCACGTGCAATGGGACTCGCAGCATATTCTCTAGATTTCATGGTCTCCTGGTAGCGCCTCTAAATGTGTAAATGCCCAGAATTCTCTTGTTTTCTTTAGCCGGTAAAAGCATTCATATAATGACAATTACAATTACACAAATATAAATTTGCATCCAGAAAGCTTCCTGTTTTTTTTGACCTGACATCCATTTCTAACCTCTCTGAACATGTTGATGATGAGTGTCAATGGGATGCTGGAGGAGCCTGGCACTAGCTCGTGAGAGCTAATTTTGCATATCTTTCCCAAATGCCACATTCAGTGAATTCATATTGTTAGCTTGAAATATAGGCCATGGTAAAAGTATTTATTCCAGGGAAAGTGGCAAATGCTACAAATCACCACCCCACCCTTTTTTTTTCCCTGAGAGATGATTCTTAAAAACCAGTATGCCACTGAGTTTCTTGAACATTTCTTAGTAGCATTTAAGTATTCACTTAGAACAAGGGCATTAGGAAAGCTGAAAAGCTCAACTTCACTGTTGCCATTTCGTTTGAGATTTCAGTAAAAAAAAAATTCTTTTTCTTTTTGGAATCTATTATTTCACAGTTCTAGATTGGGCTAATTCACTCTGATGGTGAATGTAAGTTCTAAGAATATTACCCTAAAACCTACACATGTTCAGTTTACAAATACGAGATAGTATTTAATTTTATTCTCCACTTCCAGTACTTATTATGTACTCAATTTATTTGGTTTTTAGTAGTTTTAGGGGTGTTCACTCCTCTGAGTAATCAATTAAAACTCAGGACTTAAAACATTGATTTCTGATCCTTTCATCTCAAACATTTGAACTCACACACACACATATTTTGAAAGAAAGAAGTTTTTTTTTCAAGTTAAAAGACCGTATGGAAAAACTCAATTAGGTAACAAGCAGATCACTTTACCAAAATTTAAACAAAAAGTAATTCAGATGATATTGGTAGGTGGAGATTCACTCACATTAGGTGGTAAATGAAAAGGCCATGTGTGTCCCTGCCATTTTTTTTTTTACAAAGATATGTTACAGTGAGGGATTCTTTTTATAAAATTGCCTTAACATTAAGTATGTAGTTTTTTTGTTTTCTAATAATACTTCAGTTTCCAAATGGTTGGTACTATTTGCAGTACATAATTTTCCTGACAATGCATTTTACTGAGATTTATGAAGAAACAGAAAATATTTTAATGTTAAGATATTTATACTGTATTATGTTTAATCCAGTGAAGTCAGTAATAATCCTAGTTTCACATTTGTATTAAAAATATGAAGAGAGAGTAGATGACTAGAGATGTAAAACATTTAAATTTCTGAAGCACTCTCTGAGCCAAAGTTGTAAATATACTTATCACTCTAAGTGTAAAAAGGCTACAGTGTGATCCATTGGGTGAGTCTTGGATCAATACCTCTTTGGTTTCTGGTTTCTCTACCAGCTAGCACACAGTCTAAATATCCTTTGGCTTGGCTTATTTAGTCTTTTTTTATTTTTTTTTTTTTTGGTTTCTGAGGTTTTAGGTACACCACTTCCCCTTCTAACTGTCCTTTCTATACCCTTTGTCAAACATGACTCCCCCATCTTTAAAATTTCCTATAGGGAGAGAAGAACAGTTAAAACCTTACCCTAGGCAAACTTTCAATTTGGAGATAACCAAGACATGTAAACTTTTAGAAATTCAACCAATATAAAAATAGGTAGAACTGATGAATATCTGTAATCTAGGCTTAATGATTGAAAGAAGAGTTACTAGCCCTTCTTTAAGTCAATTTCTTATAAATAGCTTCCACAAGAGCACTTTCAATTTAAAGATTGAGAAAAATTTAATTGAATAAGTAACCATGATGATGAAAAAAATTGCTTTGTTTTGCACTCTTACAATAGAGATAATAATTCCTGGAGTTGTTTCTGATAAAAAACAATTACACTAAACATTTTGGAATTTTTCCAGAAGATGATACATAAAATTTGAGTAGAACCAAAATCCACATCTCATATAAAGAGAAAAATCACTGATGGTTAGAGACAATGGTTTGAATGTTTTGTACTGCTTTATATAAATAGCAAACTAAATATTGCAAGGCTCATAGGCTCAAGACCACAGGCAAATTTAATAAACTCTAAAAATCTATAATCTGTGTTAATTTTATTTATAAAGTCTCAATCCAATAATGATTTAAGGTAGCTTTAAATATAAGGTAAAATAGCAAAAAATAGAAGAAAAAAAGAAAAAATTGGTAACACAATAAAGGATAAAAGAAATTAGTTTTCAGGGAAATAATTTAAAATACAAATGAAAATAGATCTATTGATTCAACAGACAAATGATCGAATGCCTATTATATAAGAAATGTAGGTGATAGGTGATGGTGAGGTGAAGGTGAATAAAATTGTTGTAATCTGAAGGTCCTCACAGAGGGTAAGAAGGAAAGACATTGTCATTCTCTGAGAGGTCAGTTTTCACTGGAACCAGAGGAAGCATAGCCAGGGCACCTGCATCAGCAGCATAGGTTAGTGTTAATGAGGGCTGACAGGTTTGTGCACCAGCTTCAAGGCTGCATTCAAATAGAGACAGCAAGTAATGCCAGGATGAGTTTACACATAGAACACAAGCTGGGACTTCTTGGTTTCCAGGCTTATGAGGCAAAAAGGAAAGTAAGGAATTCTGAGTGCTGAGCTTTGTTGCTTCTAGGAAACAAAGAAACAAACAAAGGAACTATGTTTTCTCCCATTTTTGGCTTTTTTGCTCCTTTTCTTTAGCAAATTCCATTTCACCACCTGGTACCTTTGGGCTGCTCTGTCCTGCCTCCTATTAAAAGCAATGCAACCAATCAGGACAGACTGGAATAACATGTTTCAAAGTGACAGAGACCTTCACAGGGGTATGTTTTTATTATTAGCAATAGCTTCTTATAATCAAATACTGTATAATGGAATTATTTACTTTATTTAATAAACATTTATATAGCATTTATTATAGACCAGGCATTATCTCAAGTACTTTAAAATATTACACAGCAGCCACCCTCTGAGATAAATGGAAACATTCTTCCCATTTATAGGTGAGGAAATTGAGGCACCTAGGGGTTAAGTAATTTGCTCAAGGTCACAAAGTTCATAAATCACAGTGCTGGGTTATAAACCTGTACGTTGTAGCTCCAGAATCTATGCTATTGGCTGCTGTGTCATACCTTTTTGATTTTTTTTTTTTTTTTTTGAGACAGGGTCTTGCTCCGTCACCCAGGCTGGAGTGCAGCTCACTGTAGCCTCAATCTCCTGATCACATGCAATCCTCCTGCCTCAGACTCCCAAGTAGCTGGGACTACAGGCATACATCACTATGCCTGGCTAATTTTTGTATTTTCTGTAGGGACAGGGTCTCATTATGCTGCCAAGGCTGGCCTCAAACTACTGTGCTCAAGCTATCTGCCTATGTTGGCCTCCCACAGTGCTGGGATTACAGGTGTGAGCCACCATGCTTGGCCTCTTTTTGATTTCTAATGAGGGTATTGTACATTTCTTATTCGTCTCTTGTTAGCTAATCTATCTCTGATTAGCAGCAAATGACTAATTATTTAGCTTAACTGAGACAGGAAAGCTTTTCAATTCCTTTACTTCTGAAGGTATCCCTGTCTCCACCACTCACTCTGTTCTCTTAAGATGGAGGACTCCCTTCTTCCTGTCTCCTTTAATCATAATCTTTCCATCAATTGCACTCCGCATGTCCTTGGTCTTTTTTCCTCTAATTCCTGTCCTCTGCTTGAACCTTCCTAGGCTGCTGTCATATCCATCACTAGGACTGAACTCTTATATGAGTGCAAAGGCAAGGAGGGAAAGCTGAAAGCAAAATCTGTTGAGACCCCACAAACACTCCTTTCTGGACCTTGTTAATAGCAAGTAACAGGAAGGAGAGGGAGGCATACTACCACACCCTGTAGTGTTGGTGGCAGGTTCCTGGCAGGGTACCTAGAAGAGAATTACAGTGCCTGACAGGGCTGTGAGAGTGGATTTATTTGGGAACATCTGTGATCTACAATTGTGGGACTCTCTGCATGCTGGGGGTGGGAGATCTGTGGGTACTGAAGATGTTCAAGAAGCTGCATTACTACAATACGAGATTTCATTTGTTTCCATGGTCTGGTGAGGTCTCATAAAAATCAGGTAATGTCATATTATTCCATAGTTGTTGGTTTTGTGTCTGTTTTTCTCTCTGGCCTTCTGTTCCTCAGGTTCCTCCCTGGTAGCCTCAGCTGTAAGTACAGTACCTGATGCATAATGCACACAATGCACATATGCTGACCTGAAGCCAGTGTACTTGGGTGATGTGGGACCAAACAGGCCAGTGGAACTGTTTCTTAGACAAACCATTTTTCTTTACCTGCTGTCTGCTCTACCCACAGCCCAGTGACAATTCTATCTGCTCTCCCTGTGTGAAAGGTTCATCCTTTAGCACATCTGCTCATTAATATGAAGTGGTGAGAACAGTCAATATGCTCGTAATGATAGACCCAACTCTCAACCTAACTAGCTGTCTATGTTCGGGCAATTTACTTAAACCTCTGGGCAATTTACTTAAACCTCTCTGAGTTTCCTGATACATAAAGGAACTTATACATTTTCATTGACCTTCTAAACCCTTATATTCTCTCATATTGCCCAATGTTCGATTATTTTGTATAAGAAATAATATGTTGGGAAATCAGAGATCCATGCAGTAGCATTTCTACCTCCATTTTATTTATAACCATGTCTTATGTGTAAACCTTGGTGCCAAGTTTATTCCTACTTAGTCCTGAGAAAAGACGTGGAATACACACTTATACACACACACACATACACATATATATACGTATATGTATATATAAATATGTAAATTAAAGCTGAATTCAGGAGTCAAGATATATTTGAAAAATATGCTACCATGGGATATTTCATTTGAAAACGTAAATTAACACAGTTTCCTTTGGAAAGTAGATAAAGAAATAGTTGTGACCTAGATATAGTATAAACCTCAGATTGGATTCATAATAGCATACCTCAGGAAAGTGATCTCTTTTATATATTCAGGGGTTTTTTGTTGTTGTTGTTGTTTGGATGTTTCTTCTTGCTTTCTCATCAAATCTAAACTCTTTAAATATCTGCATTAAGAATATGTTTTGACTTGCACATTGAGTAAGAATAAACTAATACTCATAGGTTTTGCAATTATACAGCCGAATAGCAAAAAATTTTTTGTGGTGTCTCAATTGAAATTTGATTTTGGTAACATTTTTGGTTTTCATATGCTGATGTCTAGCATATGGTAGAAAAATGGCCCCCTCAAAGGTATTTCTATATCCTAATTCTTAGAATCTGTAAATGTTACTTTATTTGGAAAAGGGTCTTTGCAAATGCGATTAAGTTAAAGTTTTTTGAGATGAAGAGATCATCCTGGGTTATTTGGGAGTGTCCTGAATGTCATCACAAGTGTTTTTTTTTTTTTTTTTTTTTTTTTTTTTTGTCGAGACAGAGTCTCACTCTGTTGCCCAGGCTGGAGTGCAATGGCACAGTCTCAGCTCACTGCAACCTCTGCTTCCTGGGTTCAAGCAAGTCTCCTGCCTCAGCCTCCTGAGTAGCTGGGACTACAGGCGCATGCCATCATGCCTGGTTAATTTTTATATTTTTAGTAGAGACGGGGTTTCGCCATGTTGGCCAGACTGGTCTTGAACTCCTGACCTCAAGTGATCCACCCACCTTGGCCTCCCAAAGTGCTGGGATTACAGGTGTGAGCCACCATGCCCGGCTCACAAATGTTCTTATAAGAGAGAATCAGAGAGAGTGAATGATTGGAGACTCAGGGGAAACGGTAATGTGAAGATAGCAACAAAACCTGGAATGATGCAACCACAAGCCAAGGAACACCAAGGAATGCCCTCAGTTGGCAGACGCTGGAAGAGGCAGTAATGGATTTTCCCTCAGGACTTCTGGAGAGAGTGCAGCCTGCCTACATAACATCTTGATTTCAGACTTCTGGTTTCCAGAGCTGTGAGATAATAAATTTCTGTTGTTTTAGGCCACATAGTTTGTGTCCATTTCTTATAGTAGCTACAAGAAACAAATAAAGGGCAAGATATTTTCTTTCTTTCCTTTTTATTTTTTTAAACGGAGTCTCGCTCTGTCTCCCAGGCTGGAGTTGAGTGGCGTGATCTCAGCTTGCTACAACCCCTGTCTCCTGGATTCAAGTGATTCTCCTGCCTTAGCCTCTCGAGTAGCTGGGACTACAGGCACAGGCCACCACGCCCAGCTAATTTTTGCATTTTTAGTGGAGACGGGGTTTCACCATATTGGCCAGGCTGGTCTCGAACTCCTGACCTTGTGATCTGCCCGCCTCGGCCTCTCAAAGTGCTGGGATTACAGGCATGAGCCACCACGCTCAGCCTCGTTCTTTCTTTTTTAAATGAAGTAATGTTAAAAATAAGAAGCAAAGGTTTGAATACTAACAGTGTTCAATAGTTGAATTTGGAGATGAATGAGATTAGAATGTGTATATATAAGTATATATATATATATGTATATATAAGTATATATATATATATATACTTACATATATAAGTGTATATAAGTGGACACTCTATTAAGATATACAGATAATCTGAATGCTTTGGGTTTAACAAATACCTCAGCTGTGCAGAGGCTATGAAATAGATCAGAAAGCAATAGTGTATCTCCTCTTAACATTTTCGCAGAGTAATCAGTGACAAGAAACACTGATAAAATCAACATAACTCTATTACAAACATCTAAACTCTAGTATCTACATTTATTGCTATTCAAATAGAGTAATAACAGTTAGGTAGAAGGAATGAATTCTTGTTTGATAGCAGAGTAGGGTGACTATAGTTAACAACAATGAATTGCATTTTTCAAAATAGCTAGACTAGAGGAACTGAAATGCAGCCAACACACAGAAATGACAAATACTATGGTGGTGAATACCCTAAGTATCCTGACTTGATTTTTACACATACAATGCATGTACAAAATTTTACATGTACCTATAAATATGTATAAATGTAATATATCATAAAACCTTTTCCTTTAAAAATGTTGATGAAATGTTTTCATCCAAATTACATAAACATACACATTTGTTTACTTAACTAAAAAAACACCAAACCAAGTCACGAAAACATTGTAACAGACTTCTGTAAAGTATAAGGTAGATTATGTTCACTATTATTCCTGATACCAAGGGCTTCATGGGGTGCAAATAGATGTGGTAGTAACAGGAAAAGAAATGGTAAAAATTATCCAACAATTTCCATTCCTTTCACATGTGATATTTTAGACTCTAAAACATCCCCACTTGATTATTTTGGGTGATTTTTGGGGATGGATTATATTTACTACTTATGATAAAAAGAAATATTGATATTCCAGAGTTTTACCAACTGTATTTTATTGATAGACAGTCAATGCAGCAAACTTTTCCATGGTGGGTTATGTTAACTTTGAATCATCTGATATGCTAGATAATGTCCTAATCTTGGGGAGAATATTATAAATGTTAAAATAATGTATTATTAATACCAAAGAAAGATCTCAATAGTGGTGCCATAGACAGATGGAGAAACCCTATTTTTGTATTAAAGGATTTCCTGGGAATCCAAGAATTATGATGACTACAGAAGATCCTCTACATTATATTGTGAAAATATTAGGGGAAGAACCAAGAAATGTCCACAAATGAGGAAACCTTATCATTATTACTATAGTCTTCCTAAAAATCTTTTCTACCCAAAAGCATTTTCTTAATTGAGAAATGGTTCTCACTTTGTCTATTTCTCATCCAAAGACTAAAATTCCTTGCAGTGATAGTTTTCAAGGGAAAAAAAAAAAGCCTTTTCTTTATTGCTTAGTAGCTTTGCTGCTGTTTTTGCAAAAGCCATTCTTTTTCTTTCCATCACAATTACCCTTTATTGAGCATTTTCTTAAGCCAGGTACTGGATTCAACGCCACACATGATCTATCTCAAGGCAGTAGTGCTAGACTGGGGGGAGTTTGCTTCCTGGGGTACATTTGACAATGCCTAGATACATGTTTCTTTATCACAACAGGGAATGAGGATGCTACTGACATCTAGTAGGCAGAGGTCAGGGATGCTGGCAAACTTCCTACAATGCACAGGACTGCCTGGAATAATAAAGAAGGATACAGCCCTAAATTGTCAACAATGCACATCTTGAGAAAAATGTTCCAAAGTAAAAGCTGAGTGATTGTTCATCAGCTAAATAAATGGTAAGTCTTGTTATAAGTAGGAGGAACAATGGGACATGGTTTTTCTACAATGGATGAATTGAAAAGATTATCATATGTTGTAACATTTTTCTATTTGTAGGGAATACATTCACTACATTCACATGGTCCAAGATTCAAAAGATACTCAAGAAGTTGTAGTCCAAGTCTCCCTCCCACCCCATCCCTGTTTCACCCAAGTTCCCTCCCTGGAGGAAACTGTTAGTAATCTCTTATTTAGTTACCTAAAAGTTCTCTAGGCCTCTGTAAGAAATTATATACATGCACAGAAACATACTATACATATTCTTTGCATTGTGCTTTTGTTACAATTCATTTTGGAGATTGTTTTCTATCATGATACAAAGCGTTTCCCCATTATTTCTTTTTAAGATAGCAAAGTATTTCATTGTAGGTTGTATGCAAGTTTTCTATTTTATGTAACCATTCCCCTCTCTATGGATATTTAGATTATTTCCTTTTTTTCTGTTACAGACACTGATCAATGAATATCTTTATCTGTGAGTTTAAGTCCTACAAACAGAATTGCCAAATAAGCACATTTGTGCTTGTAATTTTTATCAGATGTTGTCCAAATTACCCTCCATTCTCCATTAAATTGAATATGTTTCCATTCACACTGGCAATACATATATAAAGGAGTTTGGATAACTTTATAATTTTAAAAGTTTTTCTCATTCTTTTCATCAAAACCTGAGAATAAATAAGAGGTGGACACACAATATAATATTTTCTGTCTAAAATGTTCTCAGCACTCAGGTATCCAGAATCTATTCATGGGAGATATTTTTTTTCTAATCTGTTTTTAGTGCGCTAAAATATATAACATAAACTTTACCATTTTCACAATTATTGTGTACAATTCATTGGCATTAAGTACTTTTATAATGTTATGCAAATATCATTATTGGCTATTTCTAAATTATTTCATCACAACAAAAAGAAACTAATCTGTGAAAGCTGAAAGAATTTGGTCATTCTTGTCATACCCAGCTAAAACAGAGTTCAGAGCCAGAAAGAAAAAAGCACCCAGGGCACATAACATTTCTTCAAGAATGTTATTCTCTGCAAGCGTGGCTGCTGAAACTGCCTGCTCCAACCTGAAACCAGTTTTATTCAATATCTACTGAAACAGGCTGCTGTGACTCTAAGAATAGTTTTACCCACACCCATCACTTATTTAGAGCTTACCAGCTCCCCAAAACTAGTGCCAATGAATTTTCCTGAAGAACAATACATAACATTTCTTCTTTTTATAAAACCGCCAACCTTCTCTTTGTTCTTTAGACATAGCAAAGACCACCCTGTCTGTGTGTATGCCCTGAAATGAAATTCTTGCTTCTCAAATAAAACGTTTTATATTTAGAGATTTGTCTTTAATTTTTTACTCGACTTCAACAAACCATTATGCAATAATTCCCCATTCTGCCCTTCTCTAGCCACTGGTAACCTTTGATTAATTTCTGTCTCTATGAATTTGCCCATTCCATATAGTATATTTCACATAAGTGGAATCATATAATACTTGTCTTTTTGTGTCTGGATTATTGCACTTAGCATAAAGTTTTCAAGATTAATTCATGCTGTAGCAAGTATCAGAACTTCATTTCTTCTTAGGTCTGAATAGCATTTCATTGTATGCATATAGCTTATTTTAAAATCTATTTCTCTGTTGATCGATACTTCTCCATTTGGGTTGTGAACAATTCTGCTATGAACATTGACATATAAGTATCTGTTTGAATCCCTGTTTTCAATTCTTTTGCATATGCATCTGGGGTGGAATTGTGGGGGTCATATAGTAAATACGTGTTTAACTTTTAGAGCAACCATTAAACTGTTTCTACCATTTGTAGTGTACCATTTTACGCTGTACATGGTAAAATGTACACTTATATTTTACACTTTACATTGTACGGTGTAAAATGGCATGGTCTCGATTTTTCCACAGCTTCACCAACACTTGTTATTTTTCTTTTTTTAAATAAAAATTATGGCCATTGTAGTAGATGTGAAGTGGTATTGAGAGGCAACAGTGTGCGCCCTCACTAGCTCTCGGCACCTCCTTTGCCTGGGCTCCCACTTTGGCGGCACTTGGGGAGGCCTTCAGCCTGCCGCTGCACTGTGGGAGCCCCTTTCTGGGCAGGCCAAGGCCAGAGCCGGCTCCCTCAGCTTGCGAGGAGGTGTGGAGGGACAGGCGCGGGTGGGAACTGGGGCTGTGCCGCGGTGTTTGCGGGCCAGCGCGAGTTCCAGGTGGGCGTGGGCTCAGTGGGCCCCGCACTCGTAGTGGCCGGCCGGCCCCGCCAGCCCAGGGCACCGAGGGGCTTAGCACCTGGGCCAGCAGCTGCTGTGCTCAATTTCTCACCGGGCCTTGGCTGCCTTCCCGCGGGGCAGGGCTCAGGACATGCAGCTCGCCATGCCTGAGCCTCCCCCTCTCTCTGTGGGCTCCTGTGCTGCCCGAGCCTCCCCGATGAGTGCCACCCCCTGCTCCACAGCGCCCAGTCCCATCGACCACCCAAGGGCTGAGGAGTGCAGGCGCAGGGCGCAGGACTGGCAGGCAGCTCCACCTGCAGCCCTGGTGCGGGATCCACTGGGTGAAGCCAGCGGGGCTCCTGAGTCTGGTGGGGACTTGCAGAACCTTTATGTCTAGCTAAGGGATTGTAAATGCACCAATCAGCACCCTGTGTCTAGCTCAGGGTTTGTGAATGCACCAATTGACACTATGTATCTAGCTACTCTGGTGGGGACTTGGAGAACATTTGTGTGGTGACACTCTGTATCTAGCTAATCTGGTGGGGACTTGGAGAACATCTGTGTCTAGCTCAGGGATTGTAAACGCACCAATCAGCACCCTGTCAAAACAGACCACTCGGCTCTACCAATCAGCAGGATGTGGGTGGGGCCAGATAAGGGAATAAAAGCAGGCTTCCCGAGCAAGCAGTGGCAACCTGTTTGGGTCCCCTTCCACACTGTGGAAGCTTTGTTCTTTCACTCTTTGCAATGAATCTTGCTGCTCCTCACTCTTTGGGTCCACACTGCCTTTATGAGCTGTAACACTCACTGTGAAGGTCTGCAGCTTCACCCCTGAAGCTAGCGAGACCACGAACTCACCGGGAGGAATGAACAACTCCAGACGTGCCACCTTAAGAGCTGTAACACTCACTGCAAAGGTCCGCAGCTTCACTCCTGCGCCAGCGAGATCACGAACCCACCAGAAGGAAGAAACTCCAAACACATCCGAACATCAGAAGGAACAAACTCCCGACGCGCCACCCTAAGAGTTGTAACACTCACCGTGAGGGTCTGCGGCTTCATTCTTGAAGTCAGTGAGACCAAGAACCCACCAATTCTGGACACATTTTGGCGACCACGAAGGGACTTTCGCCTATCGCCCAGTGGTATGACAATCACCATGTGGTGAGACCATCGCCTATTGCCGAGCAGTGAGACAATTGCCTATCACCAAGCAGTGAGTACCATCAGACGCCTTTCACTTGCTATTCTGTCCTATCTTTCCTTAGAATTCGGGGGCTAAATAACCGGGCACCTGTCAGCCAGTTAAAAGCAACTAGTGCGGCTGCCGGACTAAAGACACGGGTGCCAGGCTTTCTGGGAAAGGGCTCTCTAACAACCCCCAACTCTTTGGAGTTGGGACCGTTGGTTTGCCTAGAACCAGCTTCCACTTTTCCTGTACTTCTGGGCTGAGCTGAGGATCGACAGAGAGGAAAGCTGTGCAGCTCCGAGGTCCCAACAACAAGTTGGTTGACCCTGCAGCCATGAGCGGAACTCTCAAATGCATGTCGCCCAAGCAAGACTCACCCATCTATCCTATCTATCCTGACCCTTGCCCCTTGGGTCCTAATGCCTACCAGACAAACTTCCTCTCGCCTCTCTTCTCTGAGGTTAGTCCTCCTTCTAAAAATTGCTACCTGTCTCTGGTGCTTTTCTAGTTTCTCCTATGAGAATGATTTCTAGTATAAACTCCAGGACTCTGTTACCTTCTTTAGGCACCTGGGCTCACCAATCAGAAAGACATAATTTTTGCCCAAAGCTCCGTCATAGTGGGGACTACCTGGAATTTAGGATCCCTCCTCAGACTAACAGGCCCAACAAAAGCTGTTCCCGAAGCTAGGATATGGGGAGCCTCAGAAAGTGTATCCTTCCTATTCATATAAGTGAAGACAAAAGGTGTCACTCTTCCAACCCTGGAGATCCCTTCCCTCCCTCAGGGTATGGCCCTCCACTTCATTTTTGGGGCATAACATCTTTATAGGAAAGGGGTAAAGTCCCAGTACTAACAGGAGAATGCTTAGGACTCTAACAGGTTTTCGAGAATGCATCAGTAAGGGCCAATAAATCCGATTTTTCTTGGTCAGTCCTCCTTGTGGTCTAGGGGACAGGCAAGGGTGCAGGTTTTTTAGAATGCCTCAGTAGGGACTACTAAATCCAACCTTCCTTGGTCCTCCATGTGGTCCGGGAGGAAAACTAGTGTTTCTGCTGCTGCGTCAGTGAGCGCAACTATTCTGATCAGTAGGGTCAGGGACCGTTGTGGGTTCTGGGGCAGGGGTTGTTTCTGCTGCTGCATCAGTGAGCACAACTATTCCGATCAGCAGGGTCCAGGGACTGTTATGGGTTCTTGGGCAGGGGTTGTTTCTGCTGCTGTGTTGGTGAGTGCAACTATTCCGATCAGCAGGGTCCAGGGTCCGTTGTGGGTTCTTGGGCAGGGGGAAGAAACAAAACAAACCAAAACCATGGGCGGTTTTGTCTTTCAGATGGGAAACACTCAGGCATCAACAGGATCACCCTTGAAATGCATCCTAAGCCATTGGGACCAATTTGACCTATAAACCCTGAAAAAGAGGCAGCTCATTTTGTTTCTGCACTATGACTTGGCCCCAATATTCTCTCTCTGATGGGAAAAATGGCCACCTGAGGGAAGCACAAATTACAATACTATCCTGCAGCTTGACCTTTTCTGTAAGTGGGAAGGCAAATGGAGTGAAATACCTTATGTCCAAGCTTTCTTTTCATTGAGGGAGAATACACAATATGCAAAGCTTGCAATTTACATTCCACAGGAGGACCTCTCAGCTTACCCCCATATCCTATCCTCCTATAGCTCCCCTTCCTATTAATGATAATCCTCCTCTAATCTCCCCTGCCCAGAAGGAAATAAGCAAAGAAATCTCCAAAGTACCACAAAACCCCCTAGGCTATCGGTTATGTCCCCTTCAAGCTGTAGAGGGAGGGGAATTTGGCCCAACCCGGGTACATGTCCCCTTCTCCCTCTCTGATTTAAAACAGATCAAGGCAGACCTGGGGAAGTTTTCAGATGATCCTGATAGGTACATAGATGTCCTACAGGGTCTAGGGCAAACCTTTGACCTCACTTAGAGAGATGTCACGCTACCGTTAGATCAAACGCTGGCCTTTAATGAAAAGAATGCGGCTTTAGCTGCAGCCTGAGAGTTTGGAGACACCTGGTATCTTAGTCGAGTAAATGATAGAATGACAGCCGAAGAAAGGGACAAATTCCCTACCAGTCAGCAAGCCATCCCCAGTATGGATCCCCACTGGGACCTTGACTCAGATCATGGGGACTGGAGTCATAAACATCTGTTGACCTGTGTTCTAGAAGGACTAAGGAGAATTAGAAAAAAGACCATGAATTATTCAATAATGTCCACCATAACTCAGGGAAAGGAAGAAAATCCTTCTGCCTTCCTCAAGTGGCTATGAGAGGCCTTAAGAAAATATACTCCCCTGTCACCTGAATCACTCCAAGGTCAATTGATTCTAAAGGATAAGTTTATTACCCAATCAGCCACAGATATCAGGAGGAAACTCCAAAAGCAAGCCCTGGGCCCTGAACAAAATCTAGAGGCATTACTAAACCTGGCAACCTCGGTGTTCTATAATAGGGACCAAGAGGAACAGGCCCGAAAGGAAAAGCAAGATCAGAGAAAGTCCGCAGCCTTAGTCATGGCCCTCAGACAAACAAACCTTGGTGGTTCAGAGAAGACAGAAAATGGAGCAGGCCAATCACCTGGTAGGGCTTGTTATCAGTGTGGTTTACTAGGACACTTTAAAAAAGATTGTCCAATGAGAAACAAGCTGCCCCCCATCTATGTCCACTGTGCCGAGGAAATCACTGGAAGGTGCACTGCCCCAGAGGACAAAGTTTCCCTGGGACAGAAGCCCCCAAACAGATGATCCAACAACAGGATTGAGGGTGCCTGGGGCAAGCGCCAGCTCATGTCATCACCCTCACTGAGCCCCGGGTATGTTTAACTATTGAGGGCCAGGAAATTGACTTCCTCCTGGACACTGGCACAGCCTTCTCATTGTTAATCTCCTGTCCTGGACGACTGTCCTCAAGGTCCATTACCATCTGAGGAATCCTGGGACAGCCTGTAACCAGGTATTTCTCCCACCTTCTCAGTTGTAATTGGGAGACTTTGCTCTTTTCACATGCCTTTCTTGTTATGCCTGAAAGTCCCACACCCTTATTAGGGAGGGATATATTAGCCAAGGCTGGAGCTATTGTCTACATGAATATGGGGAACAAGTTACCCATTTGTTGTCCCCTACTTGAGGAGGGAATCAATCCTGAAGTCTGGGCATTGGAAGGACAATTTGGAAGGGCAAAAAATGCCTGCCCAGTCCAAATCAGGTTAAAAGATCCCACCACTTTTCCTTATCAAAGGCAATATCCTTTAAGGCCTGAAGCTCATAAAGGATTACAGAATATTGTTAAACATTTGAAAGCTCAAGGCTTAGTAAGGAAATGCAGCAGTCCCTGCAACACCCCAATTCTAGGAGTACAAAAACCAAACGGTCATTGGAGAGTAGTGCAAGATCTTAGACTCATTAATGAGGCAGTAATTCCTCTATATCCAGTTGTACCCAACCCCTATATCCTGCTCTCTCAAATACCAGAGGAAGCAGAATGGTTCATAGTTCTGGACCTCAAGGATGCCTTCTTCTATATTCCCCTGCACTCTGAGTCCCAGTTCCTCTTTGCTTTTGAGGATCCCACAGACCACATGTCCCAACTTACGTGGATGGTCTTGCCCCAAGGGTTTAGGGATAGCCCTCATCTGTTTGGTCAGGCACTGGCCCAAGATCTAGGCCACTTCTCAATTCCAGGCACTCTGGTCCTTCAATATGTGGATGATTTACTTCTGGCTACCAGTTCAGAAGCCTCGTGCCAGCAGGCTACTCTAGATCTTTTGAACTTTCTAGCTAATCAAGGGTACAAGGTGTCTAGGTCAAAGGCCCAGCTTTGCCTACAGCATGTCAAATATCTAGGCCTAATCTTAGCCAGAGGGACCAGGGCCCTCAGCAAGGAACGAATACAGCCTATACTGGCTTATCCTCACCCTAAGACATTAAAACAGTTGAGGGGGTTCCTTGGAATTACTGGCTTTTGTGGACTATGGATCCCCAGATACAGCGAGATAGCCAGGCCCCTCTATACACTAATCAAGGAAACACAGAGGGCAAATACTCATCTAGTAGAATGGGAACCAGAGGCAGAAACAGCCTTCAAAACCTTAAGGCAGGCCCTAGTACAAGCTCCAGGTTTAAGCCTTCCCACAGGACACAACTTCTCTTTATATGTCACAGAGAGAGCCGGGATAGCTCTTTGAGTCCTTACTCAGACTTGTGGGACAACCCCACAGCCAGTGGCATACCTAAGTAAGGAAATTGATGTAGTAGCAAAAGGCTGGCCTCACTGTTTAAGGGTAGTTGCAGCAGTGGCCATCTTAGTGTCAGAGGCTATTAAAATAATACAAGGAAAAGATCTCACTGTCTGGACTACTTATGATGTAAATGGCATACTAGGTGCCAAAGGAAGTTTATGGCTATCGGACAACCGCCTACTTAGATACCAGGTACTCCTCCTTGAGGGACCGGTGTTTCAAAAATGCACGTGTGTGGCCCTCAACCCTGACACTTTTCTCCCAGAGGATGGGGAACCAATCGAGCATGACTGCCAACAAATTATAGTCCAGACTTATGCTGCCCAAGATGATCTCTTAGAAGTCCCCTTAACTAATCTTGACTTTAACCTATATACTGATGGAAGTTCATTTGTGGAGAATGGGATACGAAGGGCAGGTTATGCCATAGTTAGTGATGTCACCATACTTGAAAGTAAGCCTCTTCCCCCAGGGACCAGTGCCCAGTTAGCAGAACTAGTGGCACTTACCCGAGCCTTAGAACTGGGAAAGGGAAAAAGAATAAATGTGTATACAGATAGCAAGTATGCTTATCTAATCCTACATGCCCATGCTGCAATATGGAAAGAGAGGGAGTTCCTAACCTCTGGGGGAGCCCCCATTAAATACCACAAGGAAATTATAGAGTTATTGCACACAATGCAAAAACACAAGGAGGTGGCACTCTTACACTGCCAAAGCAATCAAAATGGGAAGAAGAGGGGAGAACAGCAGCATAAGCAGCTGGCAGAGGTAGGGAAAGACCAGCAAGAAGGAAAGAGGGAAAGACAAAGAGAAAGAGACAGAGAGAGGAAGAGACAGAGAGACAGAAAGTCAAAGAGGGAGTCAGAAACAGAGACAAAGAAAAGGAGTCAGAAGGAGGGACAGACACAGAAAGTCAAAAAGAGAGTTAAAAAGAGAGGAAGAGACAAAGAAGAAGTCGAAGGGAGAAGGAGAGAGATGGAAGTAGTAAAGAAAAAACAGTGTACCCTACTCCTTTAAAAGCCAGGGTAAATTTCTGTCTACCCAGCCAAGGCATATTTTTCTTAAGTGGAATGTCGACCCATATCTGCCTCTCAGACAGTTTGCAAGAAATAACGAAATCTATTCTTACTTTACAATCCCAAATAGACTCTTTGGCAGCAGTAACTCTCCAAAACTGCCGAGGACTAGACCTCCTCACTGCTGAGAAAGAAGGACTCTGCACCTTCTTAGGGAAAGAGTGTTGTTTTTACACTAACCAGTCGGGGATAGTACGAGATGCCGCCCGGCGTTTACAGGAAAAGCCTTCTGAAATCAGATGCCTTTCAAATTCTTATACCAACCTCTGGAGTTGGGCAACATGGCTTCTCCCTTTTCTAGGTCCCGTGTCAGCCATCTTGTTATTACTTGCCTTTGGACCCTGTATTTTTAACCTGCTTGTCAAATTTGTTTCCTCTAGAATTGAGGCCATCAAGCTACAGATGGTCTTACAAATGGAACCCCAAATCAGTTCAACTAACAACTTCTACTGAGGACCCCTGGACCAACGCGCTGGCACTTTCCCTGGCCTAGAGACCTCCCCTCTGGAGGACACTACAACTGCAGGGCCCCTTCATCGTCCCTATCCAGCAGGAAGTAGCTAGAGCGGTCATCGGCCAAATTCCCAACAGCAGTTGGGGTGTCCTGTTTAGAGGGGGGATTGAGAGGTGACGGCGTGTGCCCTCACTTGCTCTTGGCACCTCCTCTGCCTGGGCTCCCACTTTGGCAGCACATGGGGAGCTTCAGCCCGCTGATGCACTGTGGGAGCCCCTTTCTGGTCTGGCCAAGGCCGGAGCTGGCTCCCTCAGCTTGCGGGGAGGTGTGGAGGGAGAAGTGTGGGCGGGAACCGGGGCTGCACATGCTGTTTGCAGGCCAGCATGAGTTCTGGGTGGGCATGGGCTTGGCCAGCTCCGCACTCAGAGGGGCTGGCCGGCACCACCGGCCCTGGGCAGTGAGGGGCTTAGCACCTGGGCCAGCAGCTGCTGTGCTCAATTTCTCGCCAGGCCTTAGCTGCCTTCCCATGGGGCAGGACTGCGGACATGCAGCCTGCCATGCCTGAGCCACACCCCCAACCCCCACCCTCCATGGGCTCCTGTGCGGCCCAAGCCTCCCTGATCAGGATCGCCCCCTGCTTCATGGCACGCAGTCCCATCGACCACCCAAGGGCTGAGGAGTGCAGGCGCAGGGCGCAGGACTGGCAGGCAGCTCCACCTGCGGCCCGGTGCAAGATCCACTGGGTGAAGCCAGCGGGGCTCCTGAGTCTGGTGGGGACTTGCAGAACCTTTATGTCTAGCTAAGGGATTGTAAATGCACCAATCAGCACCCTGTGTCTAGCTCAGGGTTTGTGAATGCTCCAATTGACACTCTGTTATCTAGCTACTCTGGTGGGGACTTGGAGAACTTTTGTGTGGTGACACGTGTGTCTAGCTAATCTGGTGGGGACGTGGAGAACATCTGTGTCTAGCTCAGGGATTGTAAACGCACCAATCAGCACCCTGTCAAAACAGACCACTCGGCTCTACCAATCAGCAGGATGTGGGTGGGGCCAGATAAGGGAATAAAAGCAGGCTGCCTGAGCCAGCAGTGGCAACCTGCTCTGGTCCCCTTCCACACTGTGGAAGCTTTGTTCTTTTACTCTTTGCAATGAATCTTGCTGCTGCTCTCTCTTTGGGTCCACACTGCCTTTATGAGCTTTAACACTCACCACGAAGGTCTGCAGCTTCACCCCTGAAGCCAGCGAGACCACGAACTCACCGGGAGGAATGAACAACTCCAGACGTGCCACCTTAAGAGCTGTAACACTCACTGCAAAGGTCCGCAGCTTCACTCCTGAGGCGGCGAGACCACGAACCCACCAGAAGGAAGAAACTCTGAACACATCCGAACATCAGAAGGAATAAACTCCCGACGCACCACCTTAAGAGCTGTAACACTCACCGCGAGGGTCCACGGCTTCATTCTTGAAGTCAGTGAGACCAAGAACCCACCAATTCCGGACACAGTATCTTACATGGTTTTGATTTGCTTTTCCCTAATGACAAATGATTTTGAGCACTTCTTTGTGTGCTTATTGGCCATTAAAGGGAAAAACTTTTTCTATATTTACAACATTTCTGACACCAAATGTGTGGGTTTTCTATACCACGTGTCTGTGGACACAAACTGAGCGTCCTACAATTTAACTCAGTTCTGACACTATCTGGAGTTAGCACAGACCCTACGGGTTAAGGGCTCAGGCCCACAAGACTAATCCTTGCTTCAGATGTCAATCTGAAGTAAGTAGTGGGTCTCTAGATTACCTATACATTTGTCTGGCTTGGCTACAAATTGGGGGTACACACAGCCCACCCTTGATTTTAATAATTTGCTATTCAGCTCACTGAACTCAGGAAAACACTTTTCTTACTAATACTGGATTATAAAGGATACTACTCAAGAATAGCCAAATAGAAGAGAGGCATGAGGCTATACAGAACTTTCATGTCCTTTCTAGCCATGCCACCCTTCTAGCATCTCAATTTGTTCACAAATCCAGACATTCTCTGAACTGCATTGTTTTAACATTTTTATGGAGGTTCCATTGCATAATTGAGTAAATCATTGGCCAGTGGTGATTAACTCACTCCCCAGCCACTCTCTCCTCTCTTGAGGAGACTTCAAGAGTCTTAGAAGCTCTTTTGTCAGGAAGAGGGGCTAAGACCAAACATTGTAACAGAAGATGCTCCTATCACTCAGGAGGTTACAAGAATTTTAGAAGCTCTGCCAGGAGCTAGAGACAGAAACCACATTTAGATTTCTTATTATGTAACAGCTGTCTATATGTCTACTCTGAAGAAATGTCTAGTCAAGTTTTTGCTCATTTTTCATTACATTATTTGTCTTGTTGTTGTTTCTACTTCTCATACAGTGAGTCAAAACACTTCTCATATAATTTTTCACCTACTCATCGTAAGTCTACTTCCGTTAGAGAAAAAAGGCTCCTTTTACTCTAATAGGCACATAGCTATTAAATGTGGTTTTCTGGTAAATTCTGAAAAGACTTTTTCAAGAGATAAAGATGAAAGTGAAACATATCAAAGTTTTATTCCCTAAAATATTTTAAGTTAATTCAAGAAATAATTTTCATCTCTGAACCTGAAAAAGAGTACTAATAAATAAATTTCTAAGCACGCAATAGTAACTATAATAATAAGGTTAATTACTGTCTAAAATAGGTCAGAAGTCCTGCTGCAAATATTTTTAAATAAATTATGTAAACTTGGACATAACACCTTCATTAATTGTCAAAATTTTTTATCTATTTAAATTTACATTTAAAATATTTAACAGGTTAATTATATTCAGATCAGATAGGTTGCTACAAAAACAAATTTAAAATTATTAGAAAAATTAGAATTATTGTTTTCTAGAACTTCCCCATTCAAACTAGTTATGTTGATAATGTTGTGTATACATACATTCAATTGTTGCAAAGTAATTCTGACACAAATGAGATTACTCTCTCTCTCTCTCTCTCTATATATATATATATAAAATTGGGAGTGGACTTACATTGTTAAAATATACATATAATCTAAAGAATTTGGCCTTAACAAATATTCAGGTGTGGAGTAGCTGAGTAGTATCTTGAACATTTTTACAGTATAGTCTAATTTGTCAGGAGCACTGATTTAATTAACATAAATTCAACAAAACAAAGGGAAGTAAAAATGGATCTAGATTCCTAATAGATTGTTATTGGTCATGCCTGTATTGGGTAATGGTCTGCAATAGCAGGGCAGTCAAATTAAATGGTAGGCCAAATCCAGGGTCCAGTAAGTGTTAGATTAAAATTAAAACAAACAAACAAAAATAAAGTTGAAGACAGAATGATTGAGGGGAGCAATAAAAAGTGATAATACATGGTACTTGTTAATACCACCACTACTAGTACTACCACCACAACTAGCTTACAATTGAATAATACTTGCCAAATGCCAGAGACCAAGTACTTTTATATATGTACTACATATATTAGCTCATAACCTCCAGATGTAGGCAATGTTATCTTACGGTATTTATTTTACAGATAAGGTAATCAAAACACAGGAATGCAAGTGACTTGCACACACTCTCAAGGAGCAGAGCCAGATGGGGCCCCAAGCAGCCTGGCCCTGAGTCTGCACACTTAACTCTTATCCCAGTAGTTCCCAACGCCATCTCCACATTGGAATATCCTGGAGAGACTCAAAAAATAACAGTTCTCAGGTCATAACCAAGAGCAATTAACTCCCAGTCTGTGGGAGTAGGACACAGATGCCAAGGGTTCTTGAAGCTTCCGAGGTGATTCCCATGTGCGACCAAGTTTGGGAATCTCTGTACTATGCTATGCTGTCTTAAAGTTGTAGAGGTCAAAGGAAGCAGAGTTATTAGGCCAGGAAATAATCCATCTATGGCATTAAGAGGAATAATGGACAATCAAGCATACAGTGAATAATGACAAGCAACACGAGGCATTCTCTTACAACTAAAGGAAAAAAAAAGAGTCTAAGCTGCAGCAAGATGAAATTATATATTTCTATTTTTAATATCTTACCAAAGCAACATGTGGTAATGAGAATTTTAAGGAATAAGGCATCTGCTTTCTGTTTGGAATTAAAAGGGATATTATGTTTATAAACAGAGAATAGCTAGACGTCAATGTCTGGAGATTGTCACAGCTGAAGGGTGGGGTGGAGGCTACTGACATGTAGCATAGAGAAGCCAGGGATACTGCTGAACACGTGGCAGTACACATGACAGGCCCCACAGCAAAGACTTATCTGGTCCTTAGTGTCAATAGTGTCCAGTGTGATAAACTCTTTAATAATGACTATTTTAATTACAGAGACAGTAAAGAGATTAAGTGAATTCAATTTTTCTTCATCTAGGATTATGGTTAATTTGTGTTTACTCAACAAGCATGACAGATTTATATGACAGTATTAGAATAATTACAACAACCATTGAATTCCTAGAAACTATACTTTCATGCTAGAAAATTCTTTAGATGTGATGGTAAATGCAGTTATAGCCTTAAAAATCTATGACTCATAGGGAGGAGAAAGAAACTAGGTAGGGCAGGGCTAGATATGGAATGACATCTCAAACATGTCCAGACCACTGAATGAGGAAATCAGAGCCAGGTCTTGCAAATACTCCGATGTTGGTTCTTTGAAGCCTAGGTTATGTTTAGTTTCACCTGCCTATGAAGAAGTAATACACTTTCTATGAAACCAGAGTAAAGAATCATGTAAGATGCAACTACATCCCTGAAAATGTGCAGGGGAAATTTGACACTTTACTCAAAGTAATGACAGTAAGAGGACAACCTTCAAAGTGATGCATCTTATTTTTTCTTATTGCATAATAATTGTATTTTCATGTCATCCTAAATGCTTTTTTCTTTTAAAACATTTTTCACTGCAGTGCTTTAAAAATTTTTAATTTTTATCTCTTTAAATTCTATTACTTTTAACCTTATATAAGAAAGTGATTATTAGAAAATCTGATTATAAGTTCTCAGAGATTCACTCTAGCATATCTTATTAAAATTGGATTCTGGGCTTAGCTCTGAAGTTTTGGTTTGGAAAGCTGTACTTCTGATCTTCTTGAAGGCATTAGTTTGTGTTAGTACTAAAGAGTAGTGCTGTATGACTGAAAAGATTTTGAACTAGAATTCTGATTTACACTTGTTCTTTCTGTAATAACCAAAGAAGTAATCTTCTAAGAGATCTTATACAGCAAATTTTGTTGTATAATACAGTAATGTACAGTGACAACTTAGATCTAGCTGGAGAAGTATTTGTTGCTTCTCTGCCATTCCAGACTAGGAAACAGCAAATGCAAAAGCATGTAAAGATGATAGAACTTAAAGTATAATAGAAAAAAAAAGATGATAGGACTGTTAAGGGTGATGGAGTTTGGGTGCAGAATGGGGAGTGAGTAGTGAGAGCTAATGCAGGAGCTACGTCTCAGATCATGGATGGCCTTAATAATCATACAAATAATTTTGGGTATAGAATATTGAAAACTTAATTTGGAAAAGTAAAATAATGAGATTTGTAATGTAATGACATTGTTCCAGACATTAGTGACATTAATCTGGAATACTATAGAAGAGTTATTATTCTGGAATAATGTGGAACAATTTTAATCTTAATCTTATGGAAGATGGATTAGAGAGGGTTAGTGTTTAAGTAAGGAGACCATTGAGGAGCTACAGACATCACGCAGGTGAACAATGAGGGCATAAACTAAGGCTGTCACAGTGGGGATAAAGAGAAAAGGATAGTTTGAGTTACTGAGACATTTAAGGAGTAACAAAAACTTGGGCCTGGATTGGCTGTAAAGTGTATGATAAAGAAGGAGGCTAAGTAAGACTCATACTTACTGATTTAGGACACTGCTAAATACTTTGCCTATATCTTCTCTTTCAATCTATGATGTAATAAATGTTATCTACCTTCTACAGATGAGGACACTTGGCTTAAGTAACTTGCTCTAGACCACACGGAGGATAGTGGCAATGCTAGGATTTGAACTCGGGACCATCTAATTCCAATGCACATGATTTCAACTATTCTTAGTAACTAGGATGAGTATTACAAGAGGAAGAGAATATTTGGAGTGTGAGATAAAATAATGCATTATGTTTTGGAAATGTGGAGCCTCAGATGGCCATGGAACACAAAACTAGATCATATAATAGGCAACTAAGTGGAATTTAAAAATGTGGTTATATACTACCCTGTCACTTTACATTACAGCTTATTGTATTTTATAATGATTACAGTGGCAAATATTTTTATATTTTTCCCAAATCTAAAAAGACTAGTGATAATGGAAGATTGTTCCAGAACATATTGGGAAGTAGACTGTGGAAAACGGTCCTATTAACTTTTTCATTAGTCATTTTTAACCACATTATACATTAACACTTCAGTACACTTCACAAAATAGCAATCTGGGCTTTGTATTCAACCACATTTAGTACAAAAGTGGAAACTAAATTAAATACAATCTAGAAAACAAATAGTGCAACAAATTTCATGAATATTAATAGAAAACCAGACAAATGTATTTGAGTTTGCATCACAAAATGTGCAATTCATTCTTTTATGGAATTGCTATTTTCAAACAAAATAGATTGCTATAGTCACTTAAAAATGTAAAATGTGAAACATCCATGGAAAAAAGATAGGCAAAGATTATGAGAAATATGATAGATTTCCCAATGAGGGAATGAGGTTTTGAATAAACTACTCCCCTTGGCAGCATCTTAACAAGATCATATTCAATGAATATGAATCATTAGTAAACTATGAAACAATGAATAAACACACACATGCAGATGAGATGCTAGGTTGCTACGGATTTACTAGCTATTCCATCTGTCATTATTTCTGATTTTTCACCTCCTCCTAAAATCATTAATAGGGTACAGAGTCACTGTGAATTTTATGCCTGCCTCAAAACACAGAAGGGTTTAATTTATTGAATGATATTTTATTAGTTCAGATGAGTTGAAATGTGGCATTTCATTTTCTAAAACTGTGGAAACATCAATCATATAGATACTTAAATTGTAATTTAGGCACTGGGTAAAGTTTCAATTTATCTGAATAAAATTGAATAAACATCCAAAATGAACTAAAACATATTTTAGATCAAATTGACTTTTTCTGATTAGTGGTCATTTAAAATCTCCTTATGCAAAATTAATCAGGTGCAATTTCTTTTATAAAAATAAAGAATAGAATGGTGGTTACCAGAGGCTGGGGTGGTTGAGGCTGGGGGTTAAGTGGGGATGTGGATTGGGGGATGTGGATAGGGCAGATGTTGGTTAAAAGATACAAATTTACACTTAGATAGGTTGAATCTGTTCAGGAGGTCTATTTCACAGCATGGTGACTACAGTTAGTAACGATATATCATTTTCTTGAAAAATGCTAAGGAATGCCTACTAAATATTCTTACCATGAAAATGATAACTGTGAGGTAATATATATGTTAATTAGCTATATTTTAACCATCCCATAATGTATGTGTACTTCAAGACATCATGTTGTACATGATAAATATATATGATTTTACCTGTCTTAAAATAAACAATACATTAAAATAAAAGTCTTATCTTCTAGAGCTGAGGTTTTGTCACTTTTAATATCCACATTCCTAATTGACTATCAAAATCCAGTACTTCATTGTGCAATATTAGGATATACTTTATATATCCTAATAGTTTATAAAATTATATAAAATGTTTTATAAAATTAAGTAAAAAATATTGTGTGCATAAAAATATCATGGGCAATTTCTTTTTTCCTCCATTTTTTTAATGATATGAGACTAATTCTTATTCTGAAGATGTCTTCACAAAGTAGAACATTTTTAAGTGGTTTATTTACTTTATTCTACCTAATTTTCTTTTTACTTTTGTTTTCTTTTTCTTTCTTTCTTTTTTTTTTTCTTGAGACGGAGTCTCGCTCTGTAGCCCGGGCTGGAGTGCAGTCGCGCGATCTTGGCTCACTGCAACCTCCGCCTCCTAGGTTCAAGAGATTCTTCAGCCTCACTCTCCTGAGTAGCTAGAACCACAGGTCCCTACAACCGTGTATGGCTAATTTTTGTATTTTTATTGGAGACAGGGTTTCGCCACATTGGCCAGGCTGGTCTCAAACTCCTGACCTCAGATGATCTGCCCGCCTTGGGCTCTCAAAGTGCTGGGATTACAGGTGTGAGTCTGTTCTATTCTACCTAATTTTCAAATACCTGACTGGCCTATTCTACCTAATTTTCAAATACCTGACTGACAAATGTAGAAATCAATATATCAGATACTTTGGTCTACACAAAATAAATTTCTTAATAGATCATTCATTCAGACAGATTGAATTTTTACTTTAGATAAGAATTACTTAGGTAAGTATTATTGTGATGGTTACTAAAGAAGAAAACTGAACTCTTTTGGACAGGAATCTAACTCAAGTCAACTGCTTAAAGGAGAGTAAAATTTCTGAGGCATGGTATTGCAAAGCAAGGGAATACATGTTAAAAATATTAGAAGCGGTATAGTACGAGTAAATTTGGGAAATTTGACTTCAATAAGCATGTTAGAGGGATAAATAAAAGAGGAAGCTCTTTCCAGATTAAAGTTTTTACCTATGAATAATTCTACTTTTAAATAGATCCCTGGCAAGACATTCTGGGTTTGAGAGTCTGGAATTTTGCAAATATACTGGTTACTAACTGGAATAAAATATGTGCTGCAGTCTTAAAATTTATTTAAATGGGAATATAAGGTTGCCATTGTTTTAATGGCAAAAAAAAATGTTTCCATGAAATTTATTTATGAAATGAATGTGTGGTTGTAGCTTGAGAGGCAGGAATTTAGGTGATGAGGTAGAAAGTTAGAAAGCTACACATTTTATTATTTTTGGATTCTCCACAATTTTTAGAAAATTCTCATAATTTCCCTTTTCTTTTATTTGTACATATTTGATTATTTTGCTATTATCAACAATTTTAAGAATTTTGATGTGCAGAATTAAACTTAATAACATAGGGATTATTTCTAAATCTTTGATTTCCACATTGCATACTTAAATATGTTCTTAGAAAGATAACCTCATAGCACTGAAATAGATGGAAAGAAGAAATTCTTGAATGGCAATGTGTCCATATGGCAAGATAGAGCTTGCAAAGTTAATTTTTCTTAATTAGCAGTAACTTAATCAGTTCCAAGTTAGAACTGAAAAAACGTTTTCAGTTCTTTTGTAGAGGTATCCTTTTAAAATAATTCTTATCTCTGCATTTCCATACCGTGTAAATTGAGAGTTTGAAGCTACTATATTTAAATCCAGCAAACATTTTGGCACTAAACCTTTGTTTCTGTCTTTTGTGCTTGTGGTAATGTGGTGATATATGGAAGATGCCTCAGAGTTACTAGTAATGCTATGGGGGTGGTGGTGAATAGCAGGACAAAAATTACTTAAGTGTAATTTGGAATTGTAGTTGGAATGCACTTTCATTTCATTATGTGTATTTGATAACTCATTGCTTCTGAAAATAATCAATCTTGTGAAAGTTAATGAGCTTTTAAAAACTGTTCTATGTAAACATTTAGGTAGAATTTTAAATTTTGTATTATTTGGAACATATACCTATTGATTTTCAAATGTTAATTTGGTTTTATTTTCTGACATTTTAAATTGGTTTTGGAAATTTTAATATGGCGCACAACTAAGATAAAAAGTATTAGTTTATAACCTAGACCCAAGATTGAAAAACTAAGGACAAAGAGTCAAATACAGCACACTTAAAATTTTGTTGGAACACAGCCATATCCACTGATTTACACATTGTCTATGGCTGCTCTAGAGCTGCAGTGACAAAGTTGAGTAGTTCAACATAGATTGTATGGCCTGCAAAGGCTAAAATATTCATTATCTGGCTCTTTAGTTTGTCAGCTCCTTATCCTCGAGCTCCTAAAAAGCTGGAGCTGAGCTTTACAATTGCCTATGAAAAATAATAATTAAGGGCACTGGTATAAGGGGGAAAAATACAACCTGTGTTTAAATAGAGGTATTCATTTCAAAATCTGCAATCAGATTTTGGTTCATAGAAAAGAAAATTTTAAAAATTAGAATAGACTCAAGAGAAGGTATTCAGTTACATTTTAATTTTAAACATGGTCATTTACTAAGCATGGGTAGTGTGTTTGTAATTTTAGATGACCTATACCTTTAAGATTTCTGTCCCCTTGGGGTGGAGGTGGTAGTGGAGCTTTGCCTCTTTAGATAGTGGGTGATAGACTCTGCTGATTCTGACAGAAAGGATCATATGGACCCCCACAGTTTGGAATCAGTTCCATCATAGATCTGTACTTGTGTGTGTGTGTGGTGTGTATAGTGTGTATGAAAAAAACAATTCCCTTAAACGTAGAACTAAAGTAGACTAAAATAGTTGCAGTTTTCAGGAAAATAAGAATCATGGTACATACAAATTTAAAAGTTGGTTGAATACGGGAAAAATAAATTTTCTGGTATTAAAGAGGTCTAAAATGCAGCCTTCAGTATTGCTCGTTGAAAACACTGAGCCAAAAGATAAGTGCTTTCTATGTAGAAAATGGTAAGTGCTTTGCCCTTTAAAAAGAGAATCCAGAAAATGTTGCCCTTTTAATGTCCTGTAGCCTGCCCTGGATTTGAGGATGAACAGAGATGGCACTAAAAATGATAAAGCAATAAATCATAAACCACCAAAATTCCTTTTGTATCAAAGCTCTTACATGTTCAGAAGGCAATAACAATCTTCAGTACATACCAATTTCCCTATGTGGGATGGAAATTGGAGAAACTGTGACAGAAAATACTGAATAGGAATAAAACTGTCTTTGCCTCTTTCATTTTCGTTATTTTGAAATTTTTGCTGTCCACATATTAATTGGAAATCTTAATATATCTAACTGTAAGTTTATATCTGAGGCAGAAAGAAAACAAATATGGGTCTGTATGTCAGCTGGAATCCAAAGTAAATATGATCTTTTTTTAAATGTTCAAAGCATTTTAGGTTCTTTTCACTCTCATCATGTGTTACCTGCCTTTGCTTTTCATGCATTTGAAACTCACTCACTCCCCTCTTCATAGTTCTTTTTTAGTTTCTAAAATACCAGTGTAAGTGAGAAAAGGTAAAAAGCTGTTAGAAAAATCTCTATCCTTTAGAAAGTTCACTAACACACAAGATAACATATTAATGATGAACGAGAGCGGAAATTTCTTTATACTTAAAAAAGTAAGAATTATAAGGCAGCAGGTCATATTTTTGGTTAGTGATGGACTGGACTTGGAGTCATTTGTAGAATTAATTTGGAGTACTGGTCAGGATCAGGAAATAATAATTAATTCCATGATTATTAAAGTTTCTTCTGAATCTTTACAATTTTTACATAAATGTGCATGCAATGCCTTGCTTCTCAGTTAGTAACAGGGCTTAACTATTTTGTAAACCACTTTAGGGAAACATTTAGCTAGTGACTGGAAAATGGGGAATAAGTATGCCCTGCTCTATTCCAAAAGCATTTGACTTTGGGGTTACTTTTCATGGTAGAGTCAGGACAATTTCTATTAAATGCTCATACAAATAGGAAGTGCATGTTTCTCCACTGTGTTCGGAAGACTGCGAACAACAGACCTTCCATGAATATCCCAGGTAGTGCCTTGGGAAGAAAGCTCTTTGTCCATTTTGTGCACACACTTCCCTCTTTACCTCTCCAGATTCACTTCTTGTGACTGAATGGAAACCACAGTCTTTATACGACCTGAGTTCAATGTAGTGGCTTTTCGCTTTTTCTTCCAGGACTTTGTAATTTTGTATATCTTTTTGTTCTCTGGACACTTAAGATACTCTTCCTGATCCAAAGATCAGGAGTCGACCACGTACTTTTAGGCTGGTCTCGGCTGACTTGCCTCTAGTCAATTAACATTTTCCTTTGTCTCCGCATCCACCATCTTTAAGGACTTCCACTCCACTTTCCTCATGTCATAAACTTTTCTAAAACTGCTTCCATAATAACATAGAGTGCAGGTTCTGGGGCCAGGTTGCTTGGGTTTGAATTCTAGTTAGCTGGGTGACCTTGGACAAGTTATTTACTATCTCTGTGCTCAGTTTCCTCTTCTATAAAAAGGAGACGATAGTAGTATTTTTCTTATAGAGTTGTTATGATGATTAAATGTTAATCATCTTAAGAACTTTGTTTTTATTTAAGTTGGGTCCCATAAAAGTTTATGACATAGGTACTGAATAGACATTTTTTAAACTAATGATAAAATACCATTTTCACCTAATAATTTGTCAATTTTATAAAAGATTGAAAATATCTAGTGCTGGTGGGTAGGTGGGCACTGCTGGCAGGAGTATAATTGGTACAGCCTTCATGTACAATATGAAATGCACCACAAGGCTCAGTACTCCATATATAGGTAAGCATCATTCTGGAATGTTTATAGCAACAGGATGAATATTTATTGCATGCCTTACTGAAGAGCATGGGGACATCTAGATTGCATGCGTGTCACACGCAGGTCATGAGGAGCCAGGACCGCTACTTGATCACTCTTCAGCCACTTCCCACCATTACTTTTGTGCCATCACACATGCACCATGTTGGAGCCAATGCTGAGTTCAAAGATAGAGTCCTCTCGAACACCTAGAGGTTCTGACACGAATATGCCCATTACTTTCTAGTTCCTCATTTTCCTTTGGATAGTCCTGTAGAATCACCTCCTTTTCTCAAGGGTTGGGTAGGTCCTTGAGGGTACAGAGAAGAAGATCCTGGCAATCACTTCACTGATCTACTCCAAGTATCCTTATAATACTCTCTAACACTGTTTTGCTGTAGATTCAAGAAAGTCATTTGGAGGTCAAATCTAAGAGGCTTTGTTCTGTGTGGTAACTTCCTGGGTAAGAAGCCTCAGCTTTGGATATGGTTGATTAAAGCAGATTTAAAGATGAAATGAAAACACACTTATTTAATATGCCACCATTACTGTTCCCCTTAAAATATAAAGGGAAATACACTAAGTAAACTTCTTGTTCATTGTTATTTTCAACTCCACACGTAACTTGAGGAACTTTTCATGAAAACCTTCCTTCCCCTGCAACTCCTGGACCTGGGGAGTGGTTTCATTAGTTATGCTAATGAGGCACATGTTCAGTTAGCTTTGTTTGTGAATCCTTGTGCATGTTAATATGTCATATTTCTATATCTTTTGAAAATAGGATTCCAAATATGTTCAACGGTCTTTTCAGCAAAAAATTTACTTCCTTTTTAAAACAGTTTATTGGAAAACACATATTTTCTATCTTCCGTTTTATGCTGTTGCAGGTCCTACATTGAATGGAAAGTTTGTTTCAAAATAATTCCATTAATTAACAGAGAGCCTTGATCACTGGTTAAATTGTGATTTATCTGCTTTTGTTCACATCTAGATTTGCTACAGCCCTTGCATTACTGGCTTTCTGCCCATCAGTATTACCTCAAGATGATTTAAAGCAAAGGCTTTCTGGTTAAAATGTGATGAAGGCTAAAATCAAAATGGCAAAGAGCCGGGGAGCACTTCAGGTGGAACGTAAGTTCACTTATGAGGTAAAGCACTCATGTAAGGTGAGTGGCCATACCCTGGTGTTCAACTCAGCTTGAATTTTAGCTGAATAATTCTGTGCAGCTCCATTGGTTACTTAATGTAGTTATGAAAATGTATTTGCCCTTTGGTCTTCGACATTCCCCACACATGTCTTAGAGTGCTTAACATTCTTTCTGTTCTTTTCAGGGGAAAAATTTACTTTTTCTTTTTTACTGTTGCTTATAGAATATTTTGAGTGATTTTTTTTTACTTTAAAAAATATGATAAACTTTATGGTGAGAACATATGATTTACTATGCCAAGCTGTTTTGTTGATTTAGCTTCCAGATGAGCACAAAAATAAAAGGCAGAAGTGAATAGTTTAGATCAGAGAGTAGATATTACAAACCAAATGACAAATATAACTCCTGAAAAATATGAAATGCAGTGGTTAAAATTAAATTTAGACCTAATTCCCTTGGGAATTAGCTGTATGTAGAACATTGTATATAGAACATTGAGATAATCTTTGGCATAAAAAGATTGTCTCATTGTAATCAATCCAGTGGAAAAGGAAAAGTAAGATGGCCCTTACTCAGCCATCTTTCTCTGTGAGCACACAGGCCATTCATAGAACAAACATTGCTTTCAGCCAGCAGCTACTGGGGTCAGAGTGAGTCGTCTCCATGACTATGTGTGCATCCTTTGGCTACAGGCACTTGCCATCTGATAATGAAAACTCTGACTAATTTTTACTTTTTTTTTAATAATGAAAAACTTTTTCAGGAATACTTTAAAAAGGTGAGTGTAAATATTTTAAGTTTGTTGACAAACGTTTTTACTGAGGTGGATACTGCTATTATTTCCCTATTTTTCCCGAAGAGTAACTCATTTTTTAATGTTTGGGTGAAACAAGTTTATTTTATTTTATTTTATTTTATTTTATTTTATTTTATTTTATTTTATTTTATTTATTTTATTTTATTTTATTTTTTGAGAGAGAGTTTTGCTCTTATTGCCCAGGCTGGAGTACAATGGCATGATCTTGGCTCACTGCAACCTCCACTTCCTGGTTTCAAACGATTCTCCTGCCTCAGCCTCCTGAGTAGCTGTGATTACAGGCACCCGCCACCAGGCTCAGCTAATTTTCTGTATTTTTAGTAGAGACGGGGTTTCACCATGTTGGCCAGTCTAGTCTCAAACTCCTGACCTCAGATGATCTGCCCGCCTCGGCCTCCCAAAGTGCTGGGATTACAGGCGTGAGCCACCATGCTTGGCCTGAAACAAATTATTAACAACTGTTAAATATTATGCAATATGTAATATTATATATATGTATGTATGTGTACATTGATATATATGTATATATGCATAGATATGTGTCATGTAATATACACATATGTACCATACATTTTATATATGTAATATATAATACATATATGTTTATTATATATGTAATATATAATACATATATGTGTGTATTATATATTTTATATATGTAATCTATAATACGTATGTATTATATACTTTGTATATGTAATCTATAATAAATATGTATTATATATTTTATATATGTAACATAATATATGTATTATATTTTATATATAATAAATATCTTACATATATTTACATATAATTACATATGTAATGTATTTAAATACGTTAGAAATATATTTTACATATATAAAATACATATGTAATATATTTTAGAGATTTTTAATATAGTTGAGAACATTAGCTTCTTGAGGTTTGAGATCAGGCCTGAATCTTGCCTGCCTAACAGTAAGCAGTGACAATTTGAAGGGATCGATTTCAGACCTAAAATACAAAAAGGAATCTAAGGGGAAGAACATTTAAAATGTCTCCTGTCCGTATCTATCTATTGATTTATCTGTTTCTCTCTCTCTCTCTCACCATCTGTCCATCTATTTGGATTCACCAGAGGATGAAAAGGATCATCTTTATGAGCATCTTGCAGTGAGCTGGGAGGACACATGCTGGCTTGTGCCTACCATCTTCTACATCTTAACTTAATTCTGAAGCATGAATTTGACCTGAAAGGAGGCTCAAGCTTTATTCTTTTTTTTTTTTCAACCAGAAACACAATAGAATTTATTTCCTTTCTTTTTACTGAGGGAGAAACAGTGTCCTGGTAGGGGAATAGTATTTTCAAAAGCTGCCTAAGTGTCTTTAAAAACAAGAGGACAACTGAATTGTAAGTGCTGCCTTTTCTCTAAATAAACTTCATCCAGTCAGCACATCACACACTGATATTCACATTCGATTATATTTCTTACCATCAGAATATTTCTTTGCCTGAAAAATTGTTTCCATATTTACTACCTCCAGATCCTCCCCTAGGAATGAGGTATAGTCTGTCAGTAGGTCTGTGGCTCTATACATTTTCCATTCTCTTTGAAGTTTGTAGGACAGAGGTCAGGGTTAGCTTTACATTCTCTCTCCTCTTTGAAGGTTGTAGAGCAGAGGTCAGGCTTAGCTTGCTAGTCACTGCAAATTCCCTTTATTCTCATAATATGCTGTGCTAAGTGTTAATGATAACATGGGACACCAAGGATATTTCACCTAATGACTTTTTTTCCCCCTCTCATTATTCCATATTTGAAATTAACCAAGTATTAAAATTAGGCACCTTTTTCCCCAGGTAAAGATGTTTTTCAATTCCCATCTCTAATTTTAAAGTGTGTCATTAGGTTAAAAAAAAAACAAGATAAAATTGTGGTAATTATATTATAAACTATTTTGGTGAGGAGAAGTAATAATTCAATAATTCCACTTAGGAGACCAGAGGTTGTTATTAAAAATGATCTGTAGGCAAAGAGAGAGAAACAAATGGGACCATCATCAGCAAAAAACAACAGAAACACAAAAACTGATTATATCAACGTGCGGTAGGGAAAAAGTGTGACAGAATCTACAAAATGAGAAATGAATAAACAGGCTCAAATTTTCAAGTGGATGCTTTTAGAGACATATACTTGATGGGCGTGCAGAACTCAGGCATAAAAATGCCTGACAGAATGATAATTGTTTCATGTTAATTTTGAGTTAAATTTTAAAATGTGAGTTGCAAAGTTTAATCACATAAGTCTCAAAGAGCTGTTTATAGAATTAGGTGACTTAGTATTTGCAAAATATTCAGAAGAGTGTTTGTCACATAATAAGCACCATGTGAGTTCCCTTCTATTATTTTCATCTCAGTTGGTCCTTGCACAATTCTGTGAGGTGGATACTGCTATTATTCCCCTTTCAGGTGCATCTTAGAAGGTTAAGTCACTTGCTTGGACAAACTACGTGTCCCTACTGAATATCGCATTGGTGGGAACTATCATTAAGGTGACCGTCCTCTGGCCAAGGGGTGGGCTGCAGCAGAGGCTGGTCTCCTCAGATGTACTCTCCCTTGATTTTGAATTTTATTTTATTTTATTTATTTATTTTGAGACAGACTCTTACTCTGTTGCTTAGGCTGGAGTGCAGTGGTGCGATCTTGGCTCACTGCAACCTCTGCCTCCCAGGTTCAAGTGATTTTCCTGCCTCAGCCTCCCAAGTAGCTGGGATTGCAGATGCATGCCATCATGCCCGGCTAATTTTTGTATTTTTGGTAGAAACGGGATTTTGCCATGTTGGCCAGGCTGATCTCAAACTCCTGACCTCAGGTGATCTGCCCATCTCAGCCTCCCAAAGTGCTGGGATTACCGGTGTAAGCCACTGCGCACGGCCTTGATTTTGAATTTTAAGTGGTGATGACAACTGTTGGAATGTATCTCTCTAGAGAATGATCTGGATCTCAGGGACACACACCCATTTCTGTGGTTTCTGAATGTGGTTCTGGAGAATTTATTTTGATCCTTGAGCTACTCCATAACTTTCCATTCAGTTGTTTCCGTTGTGACTTTGGTTCTGCATGGCTCTGTGCTTGGGTGAGGGGATGTGGTATATGAGGGAGGAAAATGACCGTGCCTTGTCATAGTCATCCGTGCTGTGACCTGAGCTGGCCTAGAAAAGCTAAAGTTGTAGAAACCTTGGTCATGGGAAAGGAGGGATTCAAATGGCCCCAGTACAAACATGGCATCTAACTTCTCTAGTAGAATAAAATCATGGTGATAAAGGTGGGCTCAAATGTTTTTCATTTAATTATTTTACATCATCAGATTCATGATTACCTGGAGGTCTGAAGTATTATGAAGTGCCCATGTTCATCTAGTCATTTTTTTTTGTTCATTTTTATATGACTATATGACCACTCTTTTGGAAATCTGGTTTCTGTTTCCTCTGATTGATACTAAATATTATCAACTTCTTAAAAGAAGGAACCACAGATTTTTTTCCACCCACCGTGACCTGTCATATGTAGCTCCACTAGGTTTTCCAATTATTCTGACTATTCTCTACCAGGTTCAGTCATTCTCCTGCCATTCTTTTCCCCCCCTAGATGTTTGCTCATGCTGTTTCTCTCACTTGAAATGCTCTTTCTCACCCACTTTATCTTTGAAAATCCTATACCATCTTCAAATCTCAAGTGGCCCAACTTCCTCATATGTCAATTTATGTTGATTTCTCTCTGAATTCCCATGGCACTTACAATCAGTACTTCACAGTATAGTAGTTATTTTGTGTGAGTATTTAGCTGAATGGTAAGGTTCACATAAACAGTGATCAGTTGTTTTTCCCCAATATTTTATTGTCAAACATTTTAAACATACGGAAAAGTTAAAGGGATTTCACAGTGTAAACAGTCATGTATCTACCTAGATCCTACAATTAACATTTTGCTGTATTTGATTAACATTTTGCTATATTTGCACTATCACATATATATCCCTCTATTCATCCATCTCTTCACCTTATTTTCTGTTTAAATTGCAAAATAAGTTGCAGAGATGAGCACATTTCACTGTATGCTAAGGCATACTTTAGCATGCTTATCACTACAGTTAATATTTTTAATATTTTGGTGATTAACTTTTCTATACTCCATAGCACCCAGCAGAGTACTGACCACATCATACATGTTCAATTCTTTCCCATTGGATTGAATTTAGGTACCACTTTGAAAAGCATTAGAAACTAAAGGTGTTTAAGCCCAGATGAGTGGTCTCTGGTGGCTTAGAGGCAGATAGAGGTGGGTGTGTTTTACAGACTTTTGGAAAAGACATCCCTGTATGTAGCTTGTATTAGCCCAACTTGTGACCTCTCAAATATATCCTAGGAGTGTGTTCAGGCAAAGTCTAAGGAGGCACTTGGCGGAGAAACTAGACAGGGCACCATCTGATTGACTAAAATACTAAGAACATTGATATTGCAGAAACAACAGATGGATATTCTAGTTTTTCTGAAGACAGATAGAAATGAGGTTATAAAATAGTCATAAAAACGGGGTTCATGTGCAGCAGCCTGTGACAGCCTGTTCCATTGCACCCAGGTGGGTGGAAATTCAACTCCTTACAGAGCCAGCACACACTCCAGGTAGACAATTTGGGCCCAGGCAGACGATGAATTTGCAAGAAGGCTGCTCTCCTGAACCTGTGTAGGCAGTGAGTTTCTGACATCTTATTAGGGGAAAGAAAGTCACAGTACTTCTCAGATTTGGTAACACTTTTTAAAACATGTTATTATAGCAGTCATTATTCACCCTGCCTTCTTTCTTTAACAGAGATATATTTATGTTCATATCCACATCCACATACATTCCTTCATTCTTCAAATGACAGGCTTCTTCTCATCCAAGTATCTCTGATCATCCCCTCTTTGGAATTCTCTCCTGACTCTTTTATTGAATCCCTCCCACCCCCTGCCATTATGTTGTATCTCTGAATTCTATTTTACCTGGGACATTTTTCAAAATGACTAACTATATACTTGTTTACTTGTTTCTTACATTTGTCTTAGTAGGCTAAAATTTCATAATGTCAGAAACACATTTTTCCCTTCTCCTCTTAACTAGAGGGTCTTATAGTACCTGACTCATAGTAGACTCCTAATTAAAATGTACTGAATCATGTATACTGAAAATACATGAATAGGGAAAAAATTTGTTTCAGTGTTATCCTAAATGCCCTTACTGTGTTAAACTCTCACCCTGGCTCTTTTCTTTCTTTCTTTCCTAGTACTGGGGGCTGTACTCAAACTTGACTTTCTGGGCAGTGCCACAAGTTACAAAATCATTCACTCCATCTCTGCAAACTTCCATTCCTTCAGCATGCTGCTCTCTCAGCTAGGGGTTAGGAGAAAATTATATCTGATGGAAGCAATTGACCACAAGCTGTGAATGATTGGGAACTTTGCTTAATGTGTTAAATCTCTTGAGGATGTTTACATATTATGAAAGTGGTAAAATCTGGCAGTATGACTAAGCAACTTAAATAATTTAAGGCAGTTTATGTTAAAAAGACATACGGACTTAGCTGGCTAAAATCACAATCTGAATGATCTGAATATTGAGAAAAGTGAATTCATTCTTGTTTGAGCATATTATAATCTCACTTTTGTTATGCATTTTTATATTATAAGGGGAATACTGAATTCCATTGTCTCTGATAGATTATCTGGTAGCTGATACGTTGAATGATGAATGTAGGGAATAGTTAGGAAGGTGAGGATTTCCCAAGTCATGTTGTTGAAAATGGGTTAGGAGCTGGGAGTATTTTGTTTATAGAAAAAACACAGGGAAGATAACAAAACTTGCTTCATTCATTTGAGAAATATCTATTAAACACATACTGTATACTAGCACTACATTAAGTGCTGTGGAGAAATAGTGATTAAAAACATTAGTCCTGCTTGCATAGAGTTTATATTTCATGATTAGGAAATTGTTAAGGACAGTTAAGTAGAAACAGGAAGATAAATTTATAGAGTTATATGTGTCCTTTCTTTTTTTCTTAGAAGAACAGGTAGAGGACTAATGCACACAAAATTGCAAGGAAAAATACCTTTCCTTAATGTAAACAAATCCCTAACATGTACAGGGTCTATCAATGTAGAACGGAATAGGATGCTTCCTGGAATAGCAATTTCCCATTACTGTTAAAATTTAGCTAATACTATCAAGCTTTAAGGTGATTTTAGATAAATCCCATATGCATTAGGGATAAGAATAGTGACTTGCCCATAGTTTTTTAAAATTAAGATTCTGTGATCTTTGTGTTAGTCAAGATCACTAATTTTCACTTATGATGACCAGATAAATGAGCATGATTGTTCTTATAAACAGAAGTCTTCCAGGTCAGGTTTGAAAAAGAGGAGTTATTTGATTTGGATTTCTTGATCCTTTCACAAAGAAAAGAGTCAGGTGTTCTGAAGGCCTGGCATAATGAACAAACAACTGATAGCTCTTTTCTTTATATATAATAGGAAGTAAAACACAGGTCACAGAGAGGGGAAAGATAAAGGTAGCCATATGTCACCTATAATAATAGATATAAAAGATGGGTGCAGGGGAAAGAGTGCCAAATGTTCATCTAGTTGTTCTAACTTTCTCATTTTGTCCTTGAGTCATGTGGCTCCATGCAAGTCTCCTTTCTTCTCAGGCATGAAGTTTCTTCATCAGAAAAATGAGGGGATTGAACTACATTATTGTTAATGTAACTTTTCAATCTTACATTTAAATATTTTAGAAAAAAGTAAACATATTTTGTGACAACACTTCTTAATTATTTTCGACCATTAAAATAGTATAGAAATAAAATTTGCTATTTTCTCAGTGGATCAGTTAGAGTCATCAAATGTAATAAAAAAATCACTCCTCTTATTCCTGAGCCTAGGAATAAACCCAGCAATGAAAACTTTTTAATTAAGCACTTAGACATACTTTTGAGCAACTCACATGTGGTATTTTAAAGCAACTGTTTGCTCAAATAATAATTAGTAATCTTGGTTGAGAAAAATCTGAAAACTAGCATATCAACTTGCATCAGTCTTTTAATTAGAAATAAATATTCATTTTAGTATAACATACCTCCTTGTATTAGATAGAAGGGGAATGTGCTAAACTTTCCTGCATTTATGGAATTTGTCTACAATAGAACTATAATTGATCCATGTAATTTTCTAAGATGAAAAAAATATTTTCTAAACACTTTTTAAACAGTACTTACCAATTATAGCCTAACAATTTTTAAGTAATAGAATGTTATGGCTTGATATGGTTTGGCTCTGTGTCTCCACCTGAATCTCATCCTGAATTGTAATAATCCTCACGTGTTAAGGGCGGGACCAGGTGGAGGTAATTGAATCATGGCGGTGGTTTCTCCCATGTTGTTCTCTGATAGTGAGTAAGTCTCGCGGGGTCTGATGGTTTTATAAGCGTCTGGCATTTCCCCACTTGCACTCATTCTCTCTTCTGCCACCCTGCGAAGAGGTGCCTTCTGCCATGACTGTAAGTTTGCTGAGGACTTCCCCAGCCATGCCGAACTGTGAGTCAATTAAATCTCTGTTCTTTATAAATTACCCAGTTTCAGGTATTTCTTCACAGCAGCGTGAGAACAGACTAATACATGGCTTTTTTCATAATGGCAAATACATTAAAATTTTTGATTTATAATAAGTATAGCAGCATATAATAATTTATAAACAACTTTAAAATATGTTTAAATTTATCATACATATTTTGTGGGATAAGTAAAAATAACTTTTTCTACCCCCTTTTTTTGAAATTCCAGAGTTTATAGATGACATACCAATTGCATGTTTCTTTCAATATATTATCAAAATTAGAATAAAACTTTTGCTAAATTTTATTGTGTGAAATTTCTAATAGAAAAATGGCAGTCATATAAGTGAAACTAGAAAATAAAAGTTTTAGATTTTATACATTTTTAATTTTTATTACAGTTGAGCTTCCAAAATTATGTTCAGTAATTTTATAAAGCATATTTTAGAATTAAAAACATAAGAAAATTTTGAATATTTCTTAAGGTTTTCATGAAATGTAAATTATAAGAGATTTTAACTTCATTTGTTGCCTGTAATATAGACCATGCAATATTGAGTAGTGATTAGAGTTAGACTCTGGATTCAAATTTCTTGACTTTGAAAACTTCTGTGTGATTTTTCAGTGTCCTCTGGCTTATGTGCCTCAATGTTGTCTTCTTTAAAATAAGTATAATAGTAACTCACTGGGTGGATATTAGAAATAATAATTAAATACAGGTGTAAATAATTAACTACAGGTGAAGACCAAGAAGTATGCTTAGACAATAGTAAGAGCTTAATTAGTGATAGCTATTTTATCATTAATATAATTTAGGCATTTTCTTTAAGAAAAAACTTAGAATGAACAGCCTCTCCATTTAACCTTGAAGGCCCTCTACTAATGCCATTTCCTTTTTTGCAACTTTTAGAGTTCTCATTAGGTTTGAGCCAATTTTCTAATTTCTTGTATGAGCATTTTATTTGTATATTTGCATGTGGCAAACCTACTGCAAATAATCTCTCTATAAAGCTAAATTTCCATGGCCTTTACATACTTAACTAATCCCTTTTAGTAAGATTTCTATGGTGAAGTCTGTATAATTGATTTTCTTCTGACTATAACATTTCAACCCTTATATACTTGTTTATATTGTGTTGATTTAGTTTCACATGTGGCCTTAGGGATTATCTCTAATAAATACATACTTTATTCCTAGCATTCTTATAGTAGTTTACATGAGTGAAAAGGAAGAGATCCTGTACCATTTATGGTTTGATTTTGGAGATGAGATAACAAAAAATCAATAGAAAAATCCTTTACAAGACATGAGCATGCTGGGAATTGACAGCAAAGGAGTTGAGTATGAGTTGGGACCAGTCTAGGCTAGCTTTCAGAAGGTGAATGGCTTGCAGAAAGCATAAGGTACAATTTCATAGAAAAAAAACCCAGAATATTTAGGAAGGAGCTGTATTACTAGCTACAATGCATGTGGTAGGAAAATGTAGGACTCTGTTTGGGACAGTAGAGATTATGGCTTCAATGGAGTGGCAAGCCCATGAGACTTGGGTATTAGAGGAGGATAAAGGTGGAAGGAGCTGAGAAAAAAGCTTGATTATAAGACACATGATTTGTTCATAAAATGATAAATGATGGAGAAAGGGGAGGTTTTCTATTGTTGATTTGATTTGAGAGTGACCTCATTTAAAGAATATTTCAGGAATGAGTTGTATAGCATGGTTAAATATAAGGGCTCTAGAGTAAAATGGCCTAGGTAGTAACCCTGTTTCAATTAGTTATAGTTGAATGACTTTAGATAATTACCTAATTTCCTTAAGTCCCAGTTTCCTCACTTCTTAAATGAGTATCAGAAAAATAACTACCCCTTAAAGATATTATAAAGAATAAGTGAGATAGTGTATAAAAATATTTCATGGTGGCTGTCACATAAGTGCAAAATAAATATGTATTACATAGCTATTAATGGACATGAAGAAATGACTAAATGAGATTACTGTAATGCAAGTGAAGTTTTCAGCACATGCTTTAAACGTAACAGGCCCAAAACTTAACAGACACTTATTTATCCACCTCACAATCATCTGGACAGTTTTCTTTCCTAATGTCATGGAAACAGATCTGCTTACTGTAGTACAGATGAGAGGCATGACCCTCCTGGAGCTTGGCCTCTTACAGCTCCAGGACTATCACTTTCCCATTTATGAAGCTGCAAAGGAAGACAAGCCTAACAAGCAAGAACCTTCAAAGACATTTGCCCCAGAGGATAGTGGATTAGTCACTCTGCTAACTGCCTAATTATGAAGTGTTTTTAATAAGATGCTGTAAAATAAAAAGTAGTGAGCATTTTTTTTTCTAGTCCTACAGCAGCAATAGAAGAAATAGGTGTATGTGTGTGTGAAAAACCATAACAATAATACTTTCGTTTGAGGGATACTTGATGTTTTTTAAAGCACTTTCGTATACATGATATTCACAGAAGCCTATATAGCAGAAAAATGAGTGTTATTATCTTTGTTTCAAAAAAGAAACATGTAAGATCCTTTGTAGTTATACAAAGAGTGCTTTGCTTCCTCACTTCCCCACTCGCAGGATTCTGCCTTTTACGTGTCCTGTGCCTTCATTTTGAAGCAGAATGAATCTATAAAGATTCCTTCTTTTGTTCTATACCCAGGTATACCCTACTTGGGCTGTGCTGTATGTTCTAATGATATATCAGTGAGTGGCATTATTTGGAGTTACATGTGTCCCTGCTGATGCACATCTATACAATTAGAATTTTGTGGTTTTGGTATGATGAGTATTTAGCTGTTCTTCTGAAGCGTCACTGTTTCTTTGGGTCACTCCTCGTAAGAAACAGTAGAACACAGAGAACAGTCGCTAACACAGGGAATTTAGCTCCCTGGTTACTATGGCAGGGCGATAGTGGGTGTGGGGATACCTGCCTAGTTTATCTAAAAACATTGCTTACGTGTAAGTCAAACCCAAATGTCTCAGGCTTCTTCAGCCAGTAAGTGCGGATTGTAGCCATCAGCCTCAATCAGTTACGGTGAATACTGTGGTATGCTGCCCAGAGGCCCCTCGGGATGAGGGGGATGCAAAGGCCTGGTCCTCTTGACTAAATTAAGGAAAATATGAACATCTCAAGTCCAGACTCCCCTTACAGACAGCTGAGGCCTCTGGTGCAACTACTTTGCAATTCAACTTTTGCCTCTGTTCGCTCCTGTTTCCCTCACTGCCTTCCAAGTATTTGTTACTAAGAGCATTCTCTAATAAACTTTGTGCATGCAAATCTCCATGGCACAGACTGTTTCCAAGGAATTTGACCTAAGATGCAGTTATTAAGTTTCAGGGGCTGAGAATACACACTCTTAACTTCAGGAATTACAATCCATTATAGACTCTCCCTCTCCAAAGATTTTTAGAAATCCTCAGGACTTGTTTGCACATGTGTGCCAAGTATCAGATTCGCCTGTTGGTGATTTCTGTGCATCATCAATCCAAGACTTTACTTTTTCCTATTCTGAGAATACATTCCTATTACATTCCTACATTTCCTATTCTAAGAATTCTATATAATCCCATTCTAAGAGGCTACACCAAACTGGAACTGTGTTTCTATTACTTTCCCTGAGGCTAAGGTGCCAGACGAATTGGGATTCTCCTTCAACCTAATTTCTGCTACTGCACCCTAGTGAAAGGGATGAGTGACACTGCTATTACCACGCAAACAGGAGAATGTTCCTTTGGTATTTTATTCCTTGGGTAGAGGGGAAGGGATTCTCAGGGCATGGTTGAGTCTATCTTGTCCATTGCATTTGACTGGAAATTTTTGCACTTCAAATGGTGGGAGCTGTACTTAGGTGTCTAACCAGCCCCTATGTAGATCAGCAGATGCCACTGGGTACTGTGAACATAATGTCATCATGAGGCACAGTAAATTCCTGTTTTATGGTAATTGGTATAGGGCTTTGTCCTGCAATCTCCTCCTTTTTATCTTTGTAACATTTTGTCTTTGAAGGGCAGGATGGAGTTCTGATATTACTGGCAATTAGAATTAGGCCAGCTAATAGAAAGTTAAAAAGTAAGAGGGACCAGGACAGAATTCTATCTCAAATAGCATAAAACAGAAATTTACTGTGTCTTATGATGGCATTAGAATAAATTATCTGAAGAAATGTTAAAAGTCTTTGTTCTATATTTATTGAGTTCAAACACTTTGGCTCAATACCAGTACCTGTCTATGGAACAGGCTTTCAATTTTAAAGAAAATTGGTAAATCTTTTAAAAAGCATTAAATTACTCTTAACTGAATAGTGTTGGGTGGAAAAGAGTTCAGATGTTAAATTGTAAAACAATTTATATCAACATATACCTACATTTTATTCATATATTGATGAAGCATGAGCAACTTGTTGAGGAGGAATCTGGCATAGCTTCCTTTAGCTTCATTTATAAAGTAAGGTTTTTTTTTTTTTTTTAAAAATAGAATGGTCTCAAATGTGTTTTTATTAACAATGATGCTCTGTTATTATAATCCACCTTCACATATAACAATTTCAATTTTTCAAAAGCAAGGTTTACTTTTGGAATTATGCATTTCCAAAACAATAGCTTTCTAACATTTCATTTTTAAAAAGTAAACTTTTGGAAAGAATGCCAGAGCTACTATCCAAAGAGAGATGTCTGATTAGAAGTTTATGAATTAACCACTGTCTAATTGTTAAACAAGTATGCTGTTTGTCTGTTTAGCTCATATACCTTTCACAGTAATTATAAACCACTAATAAGTAAAAATTATTTGAATTTCATAAGCTATTTTAATTTTTATTCTTATTTCACACTCAAAAATCAAACATATTACTTTCATATATTAGCATACTTTAATATTTAAGTTCAAAGACAGCTAATTTTTGAATCTGTTTGTTTTTCCTTTGAGACAGAGTCTCACTCTGTCACCCAGGCTGGAGTTTGGTGGTACGACCTTGGCTCACTGCAGCCTCAACCTCCCAGGCTCAGATGATCCTCCCACTGCAGTCTCCAAAGCAGCTGAGATTATAGGCATACACCATAATACCCAGCTAATTTTTCGTAGAGACGGGGTTTCACCATGTTGCCCAGGCTGGTCTCATAATCTTCCTATGTTGTGGGAGAGACCCAGTGGGAGGGTTTTCCTGTGCTGTTCTCATGATAGCAAATAAGTCTCAGGAGATCTGATGGTTTTATAAAGGTCAGTTCCCCTGCACATGTTGTCTTGCCTGCCACCATGTAAGATGTGCCTTTGCTCCTCCTTCAACTTCTGCCATGATTGTGAGGCCTCCCCAGTCATGTGGAACTGTGAGTCCATTAAACCTCTTAAAAAAAAAAAAATAGAATGGTCTATATTTTGAGTGAACTCAGTGAGAATTATTCTAAAGAAGTTAATTGAGAAAAATGTTTCCAAGGATTGAGCTCTACCACTAAGAATAGGCTTCAAAAAGTTTTTCACAATAAAGTCTCTTTCCTGATAGTCATTTTAAGGCAGGAATCAAATACTCTCTAACCATAATGATAAATTCCAGTTAAGGAGAGCTAGGGGGACTACAGAAGTGGAAGGAAAAATATACAAAATATAAATGTATTGTTAAATCACCACTTCATCACTTAATTAACAAATTTCTTGATGTTTCCCCTGAATCTTACTTTTCAACATGTTAAATCCTGTTATTTAACTGTGCTATATGCCAGAGTGTTCTCTGACCCCCATCAATTATTGCTATTCTGCCCCAATTTTTATAAATTTAATTTGCCCCTAAGTCTTCATTTGTTTCACCTTACTTTCTTATAACTGTCAAAATCTTGTCTTGAAAGTGGTAAACTATACACATTTTAGAATTAGAAGGCTTTTAAGAATTGAAGTTTATTTTGCTGTATACTCTGCCACTGCACAAAAATAATTTAAACTTCCTCAATAGTCTTTTCTGACAGTGGTAGAAATTTACCACTAATTATAAAGGATGAAGAAAATCTGGAGTCTTAGCATACACAGCTAGTGCTCAAAACATTTCTTGCCTTTTATTTTTATTTGTTATCCTCTGCATTAGAAATGACAGTGTTTGATGGTGACTTACTGAAGAGCTAAACATCCTTTCACCTGGAACTTTTTGTTCTCATCATACATTTTCTTCCATGAGCATGTTATTATCTACACCTTGATATCTTTGCAGATCCTCTTTCATCTGTTGTCCCCTGATAAATTTCTAATCTTCAAAATGGAGTTCATTTTTCATTTTATATTATAGATGTACTTGCCACCTGTCCCTTTCTCTTCAGTAGGGTCTTTGTGGTTGCTCTCAGAACTTGAGGGTCAACCAGTTCTCTGTCATCTCATCTTGGCATTTGGTAAGATGAGGATTTGGGCCCTAAGTCTTGACTTTTTAAATTTTGCTAATTGCCATTCTGTTTTGACAATTTGAAGTGAATTGCACAATTAAAAGGCACAAATGTGATTACAGAGTCAAGTCACTTCAAATATGTTTTTTAAACATCAAACTGGCTGGTAGAGTCCACTGGCATATTATTCCATAAAGATACTCTGTAGACTCAGGTTCACATTCAGACTGAGATGCTCCACCTTATTTATTTTTGAATCAATAAACACCAAACTAATACTTCCACGTTTCTCAAGAAGTGGGCAAATTTTAGAGACAACTTTATATAGTAGAACATTCTATCCAATAATCCAAAATAGTACTAAAATTACCAACTTACAGATTCATAGATATCTTTTAAAGATTTTCTTAAGCTTATGTAATAAAAGAAATTTTAGTTTTACAGTAGATCTTCACAATTTAATACAAATAAACTGCATTGTAACTTGCTATTCAGCTAGTTTTTATGTATGCTATGTACAGACAGGCTATGCATGGATAAAGGTGCAAGAGTAATGTTTAGCTTTATATATTTACACACATGCCAATATAATGATAAAGTATTACCTATATTTCTCATATTGAGCTTGAGTTTTCCTGCATTTCCTCTAAGAAATACCAGATGGAAGAGCTGATAAAAAGATACACAAATTAATATTGAAGTGATGAAGTTTGACCTTTTTAATATGAAAATCTTGCCAAACTTTCCATATTGACATGGCAACATTTTATGAATAAATCTAATATCTTATAGATTTAGCACAATTCAAAAGTCACCATCTGTTTCAAGAAGTGAAGGCTCTCACATAGTTTCCTGGCTCTAAGACTACCAGCATGCAATCCATAGCTTATATAATATTAACTACCAGGAACATGTGAAAAGTTTTTATATATTTTAGAAAATTAGAAACATAGGTAACATTTTTAATTACTGTCAAAATTATAGATAATAGAGTATGGATATTCTTTTTTCTTAAATGAAATTGAATGGTCTCTTGCTCATTCTCCATATTGAGTTATAGGTCAATACCATCTGGTCAAGCAAGCTGCAATGCAGAGGATATATGTGGGGAAAGGGCAGATAACTGGAATCTGATGTTGAGCAGAGGTGTCTGAGAGCCTTTAACAAATTAAATATGGGTATTATAAGAAGTAGTCTATTTTCTATAAATTACTTACTAATATCTTAATTTGATATGACCAAAATCAATCCTACTCAGAATCATTCTTCCCATTTTGTGAAGTTAATGCGGATTTTGCATTACAATAAATTTCTTTCTTAAACAACTGTGAGAAATGAGCTAATTAAAATGAATTTTAAAAAATCTGCACCAATTTACATATATAATATGTATGAGGTTTTATCCCATAGACATGGAGACGTCAACAGGAGATAAAAATTAGTCCTTTTATAAAACTTAGCAGTTTTTATTTTGTTTTCTGAACCAAATATTATCAAAGGTAATGTGATAAATATGTCTACAATGATTTCACTTGACATATGTTTGGGTTTTAGCAAATACTAATAAGGGTTCTTGCTGCCCAACTATTAGAAACTTTTCCAGCCTCTGTCCAGATGATCTTAAACCATGCATTTCTTTACACCGAGCTATTAAAAAGTGGCTATTGGAGATGTGTTGCTCTGGCAGTAATACAGTTCTTGGCCAACATCCCACTTTGGCTACCCTAAGAGTTTGCTAACCAAAATAAATTATTAGGTATTAGGGTGTACCTTCAATAGACATGGATAACTTTATACCTCTGGATAAATCTTTGAGGAAATGTTCTCAGGAGTGTTAGTAGCATCTAAGGAAGGGGGAATAGGCTATGTGCCTTTAAAACATGCAGATAACACAGTAAATCACCTAGAATAAAGGACACAGGGCTTTTTTAGAGAATAGAATACTGGGTAAAAGTTAGCTTTTGTGTAAAACAGACACTAAAGGTGCCAGAAAATTTTAAACTTCAGAAACTTAAAAAAGTGTATATATATAGTAAGACAATTTTTCTGAACTTCCCCAAAAGAGAATAACCCTTGTGAAAACCAATAGCTCTCTCTATGTGATCCCTTTCAAAATTCGCTGAAATGAAAGACAAACTGTGCATGAGTATGAATTACAGTGTACCTGTAGAACTGTGATCTCTGCTCCATTTCATTTAAGAAGAACTTCTACCTTGATACTGAATTGACCTCAGTCACTACAAGTGGCTTATTCAAGTTTGTTCTACTTCTCCCTTCTGTCCTACAGATGTAAGATAGATTTAGTTGGAGGAAGTACTGGCTAATAACAGAATAAAAAATAATAGCTAATAACAAAAAATAAAGCCATATTTTACAAGTTGGGCTTATGGTTTATTAATTTTTGAAAATAAGTTTTTATTAGGCTGGGCATGGTGGATCATGCCTGTAATCCCAGTACTTTAGGAGGGCCGTGGAGGGTGGATCACCTGAGGTCAGGAGTTCAAGACCAGCCTGGCCAACATGGAGAAACCTGTTCTCTACTAAAAATACAAAAGTTAGCCAGGTGTGGGGACGCACGCCTGTAATCCCAGCTATTTGGGTGGCTGAGGCAGGAGAATCACTTGAACCTGGAAGTTGGAGGTTGCAGTGGGAGCGTGGGCAACAGAGCGAGACTCTTTCAAAAAAAAAAAAAAGTTTTTAGCCATCATGCTATTTTTTTTATTGTCAAGAAATACTTTAATATTGAAGACATCGTGTCAACATTCATATGATGAAAAAGGAACCTAACTCACATGCTTTTTAGGGAGAAATTTACCCTGCATTTGCATAGTGAGAGTTTTGTTAGTGAGAATTAAGTTGGAAAAAGCCGTACCAAAAGACCTTTAAATTCTAAATTTTGCCCAGTTAATGATGAAGTAAGACTAAACAGATGAGACAGCAAGAGAAGGTGACATAAACAACTGGACAGATAAAGCAAAGGCAATCGTAAATCCAGGGACATCCACAATGACAGGAATCAGAAGCCTCAAGCTATGTATCTCTATTTTCCCTGCCCTCTGGCAGGAATCTTCTCTCATGTACATTGTATCTTACTGGCCTAAACTTTTAAGAAACTTATGTTCTCAGCCAGGCTTGGTGGCTCACACCTGTAATCCCAACACTTTGGGAGGCTGAGGTGGGAAGATCACCTGAGGTCAGGAGATCAAGACCAACCTGGCCAACATGGCAAAACCCCCTCTCTACTAAAAACACAAAAATTAGCCAGGCGTGGTGGTGGGCACCTGTAATCCCAGCTGCTTGGAGGCTGAGGCCGGAAAATCGCTTGAACCCTGGAGGTGGAGGTTGCAGTGAGCCGAGATCGCACCATTGCACTCCAACCTGGGGGACAAGAGCAGAACTCCAACTCAAAAAAAAAAAAAAAAAAAGAAGAAGAAACTTATGTTCTCCCTTTTTCATCAGTTTTCTATGTATTAACAATTTCTACTCAACTGGTAATTCCAATTAATTAAACACACTGAAATTTCTTTCATGTTACATTTTTTTCTCTTGATTCCTCACTTTACCTCTTTTTATACTTCCAAATTAAAACTTCAAAGAGTTGTATATACATATTACCTTGATTTTTCTCTAATCGGGCTTCTTCCTCTATCCTGCTACACTGAAGTCTTCAGGTCATGGAATCATGTGGACAGTCCAGTGGACTGGAGCATTCGATAAACTTTGCCATTGCCTTCCATGACACTCTACTCCTTTTTTGGCTGTTACTTCCTACTTACTCCTTGTCAGACTCTTTTATGATTTCATCTTTCAGTATACAGTTATTAAATGTTAGCTCATCAAGAGTCATTCTAGGCAATTTTTTTCTACTGTATACTCTCATCCTTTCCCATGGTTTCAATTATCGTCTGCACAGTGATGACTCATGAATTCATATTTTCCAACCAGATCCCTTCTCTGACCTTTACTTCCATATATTCAATGGAAAATTCCACTTTGTATTTCAAAGGCACCTTAATCTCAGCATGCTTAAACTTAAACTCACGATCTTCTCAATCTAACCTGCTCTTCTTGCATTGTTTATTATTATCTCTGTGGATGATCTGCTATCCAATTGCACATAAGGAAATGAATATTAGTTTTTGACACCTCTATTTTCACTCCTAGTATTTAATGAGTCATTTTGCTCCTAATTATGTCATAAATATGTCACTTTAGTCCAAGCCACCATTATATCTTACTTGGATATACAGTAACCCTCTAACTGGCTTCCTCAATTATTCCTTAACATAGCTGCAAGGCCAGACAGCATTTGCAAACTGTCTACCTTTCAAACTTTGTTTTTCATTACTAAGGCACCCTCTTCTGCTTCTCTGTTCAAAACACGCTGTTCTTTGCGGTCTCTGAATCTGTATATGCCATGGTTTTTTCTAGCATAGGGTTTTGTTTTATTGATAGATTGATTGATTGAGTCTTGCTCTGATCCCAAGGCTGGAGTGCAGTGGCAGGATCTCGGCTCACTGCAACCTCTGCCTCCTGGGTTCAAAGGGGATTCTCCCGCCTCAGCCTCCTGAGTAGCTGGGATTACAGGCACGTGCCACCATGCCTAATTTTTTTGTATTTTTAGTAGAGATGGGGTTTCACCATGTTGGCCAGGCTGGTCTTGAACTCCTGACCTCAGGTGATCCAGCCACCTCCCAAATGGTTTTTTCATGTACTCTTCCCTTGCCTGAAACTCATAACCACTGCTTTGCCTGTGTTTTCTTTTACTAAGTTTATCTCTATTCATTTTTAAAGCTCTTTGGTCTCTCTAGCACAGGCTAGGTTACTTTTTTAAGCCTTCCTGCATCATGTTTCTTTCATTAACAACATATCTCAAATTATTCCTTTATTAGTGTGTCTACTTGTCAGTCACCCTCACTAAACCATATACACATAAGAATTAGTTTTTTTTTCTGTTTTGGCTTACCATTGAATTCTAGTAGCTTAGTATAGTGCTACAAGTAGAGTAAGAAACATTTGTTAAATGAATATATGAAACTAAATATAGAACAAAACCAGGAGAAACAGAAAAATGAGATGCAAATATTAAGACATCGAGAGCATGCTTAGCAGATGAGCACTCAACAGTTTTAAATTAATGATATATAATATGTAATATATAGTCCTAGGGTCAGCCTACTCTCACTTTGAGCTCTTGTAGGCTATTGCCTATAACACAGAGCAGATTTGCATTTTTACATTCATAGGGATATCTCCTTTTTACTTTCTTAAGTTTTGATAAAATTAATCTAAACACTTGGAAAGTCCTTTTCAGTTTTACTGGAAGCATCAATATTTATTTTACAGGTTGTTTTTTTCCTGAGGCTATCTCAGAATCTGAATGGTTTGAGGACTGCTCTATTAAGTTATTACTTAAAAGTAAAGAAGAAAATCATTTCTCTAAGAATTTAACCCCCGAATAGCAATTATTTCATGTATAACTGAAAGTACTATTGTTTGTATAAATTGTTGACATTGTATAAAATGATGTTCTTATTAATAGAAATGCCTTTTAAACAGTTTTCTGTTATTTAGCTTCTCATCTGGTTCTTTTTAGTGATCAACAGCAAACACTTAGAAATGGTTGAAATATTTGTCTGTTGCTCTGAAGGAGTTTGTTTTGTCTGTATAGAACTCAGTGTTGCAAAGGGTATACGTAATTTACAAATAATGATTTCATTACCTTAGAGTAATTTCATTGCCTTCTTGTTATAAGCAAATGAATTGCCCAGCCCAGACACCCTCATTTCTTCATTCATTCAGACATTTACTGAGTATCTCCTATTTGTCAGATGCCCTGTTAAGTGCATTAAAAATGAGTAAGAAACCATCTCTGCCTGTAAGAAGTTTCATTTTCAGATTGGTGTCCATTTTGTTGATGTGATTTTCAGACTGATGCAGTTTCAGAGAAAGTTTATTTGATTTATATAAACTTCATAGGTTAGCCAAGATTCCTGCTGATCAGACTAACTTATCTAATTGTCATTTTAAAGACGAACTCAGTCACAGAATATTTTTCAATGACATAGAGTAACTTTGGAGACCATTATTACTATATGAAAAATTTGAGCTATACTGATGAAAAATTTTGAATTCTTAGTTGCTGCATGTAAATTTTGTTTAGTAATGCCCCTGAGATGTGATCATCATTTAGCAATTTCTCTTTTCTGATGTTTTATAATTTTGAAGCATAAATGAATTCAAAGACTGATTTCCAAAAATTTATATAATCCAGAAAGACATTTCCGTTTAACATTCTGTTGGTTTTGGTTTTTCTTTTCTACTGAGTTTTCTTTTTTTGTGCAGTCAATGGCTCCCACTAACCAATTCCTAGCAGCTGTACTCCATAGATATTTTGTTGAACAATAAAACTGGATGTTAGTTTTAACTGAACAACTTGATGCTTTAATTTATTTGCTTGCACCATAATATTTTCAAATAAAATTGATTTACTCTGTGTGCAATTTGATTCCCATAGGATAGTATTAAATTATAGCTTAGTTCAATTTGTAGTTCATTCCACCAAATTATAAAAATAAGTAAAACAAAAGCAAAAATAAAAAAGTAAACAAAACAATTTTCAGATGGACTTTTAAAATTCTTTTCACTTTTGGGTGGCTGTTACACACGTAAATAACATTTAAAAAATAGAGTTCAGGCCGGGCATGGTGGCTCATGCCCGTAATCCCAAGACTTTGGTAGGCCTAGGAGGATGAATCATGAGGTCAGGAGTTTGAGACCAGCCTGGCCGGCATGGTGAAACCCCATCTCTACTAAAACAAACAAACAACAACAACAAAAAACTAGCCAGGCGTGGTGGTGCACATCTGTAGTCCCAACTACTTGGGGAGGTTGAGGCAGGAGAATCGCTTGAACCCGGGAGGCGGAGGTTGTAGTGAGCTGAGATCACACCACTGCGCTCCAGACTGGGTGACAGAGCAAGACTCCATCTCAAAACAAACGAACAAACAAAATTTCAGCACGAAAGAACTACCGTGGAGTACAGTACTTACCGTATTGTGATAGGGGTGAATGCATTTGTGTTAATGCTGTAATTAGCAGAAACAGTCAAAATATTTTGAGAATTTCCACACCCATATTTAACTGATGGCCTTCCTTCCACAAGAAATAAATGAAGAAACTGCTTTCCACAATTATTCCCATTACCTTTAAGAAAAAAAGAATATATTAGTAATTATTGTAGATTTATATTTTATTGGTTAACAATAATTAAACACAATCTTTGCCATCAAAGACTAATGATTTAGGGGGTTGGTAGGAGTGCTATTAGATAATTATTCAGTGTAATAAGTACCATATTAGAAACGTACATTATTGTCCACAGGCTGAGGATAGCATGGTATTAACAGCATTAACTTGACATGAATTTTAACTTTTGATTCTGTTACCTAGTAGCTAGATGTCCTTAACTATTTTAAACCTGTTTCCCCATATGTTAAAATGGGGTAGTGAGAGTAACTACTGTGAGTATTAGAACTCCTGTGATAATTAAATAAAATAATAAATGAAAAGTGCCATGTTGAGTTTTTAATAACTTGTATTATTATTGAATCTAATGTTTAAATTTTATTTTTGATTTCTAATTTCTTATGTTTATTTGTATTTTAATTACAAAGGAATATGCATCTTCTATCAAAATAATAGAGAAATATATAGAGAAAAGAGATAAATATTTCTTTTCCCCAATCTCATTCTTCATCCCCACTTTGAAATGTTCTTTTCTACCACCTATCTCCCCACATACAAATATTTACATATCCCAATTTTATTTTTAAAAATGAGATCATACTTTATTCATAAATTCATAAATGGCTTCATTCATCTTTCTCTTTTTGCTTAAAATTTGGACATCTGTCCCTGGAAGCCCATGGATCTCTCTTTTTAACTTTCCTAATTGAAGTATAACTTGTACAGAAAATCACAGAAATTATAAGCATAAAGCTCAGTAAGTAATCACAAAGTGAACCCGCTCACCTAAACATCACCCAAATTAAGGAAAGGACCATCATCTGCATTGTCAGAAGTCCTACCAATCACTATTCTTTTCTGCTCTTCATCAAAAGTAACCACTATCTTGATGTTTAACAGCTATAGTTAGTTTTACTTGATTTTAATCTTCCTATTAGTGGAATCATATTGTATGGATTCTTTAAGTCTACTGTAGTCTTCCCTTTATGACAGTCCCAAAACAGGTAATTACAGTACAATAAAATATCTTGAGAGACCATATTCACATAATTTTTATTACAGGATATAGTTATAATCATTCTATTTTATTATGTGTTGGTGTTAATGTCCTACTTTTACTAATTTACAAATTAAACTTTATCATTGGCATGATGTACAGGAAAAAATCATAATACTGATAGGGTTCAGTACTATCCACAGTTTCAGGTGGATCTTGGAATGTATCCCTTGCAAATAATGAGGGACTACTGCATTTGTTTTGGCTCAATGTTATGTTTGAGAGATAGATTATGCCACAGTTAATTCATTATCATTGTTTTGTAATAATCCATTAAGTTAATATTTAAAATTTAATTACTGTTTCTAGTGTAGATAGACATTTTCCCCCTAGGCTTTCGTTACTGTGAAAAATGCTGCTATGAGCATTTTATATATGTCTTTCAGTTAAATTGCATACATTTCTGTTGTATATATATCTAGGAGTTGAATAGCTCTGTCAGAAAGTATAAATATGATTAACTTTAGTAGCTATTGCCAGTTTTCCAAAATAATTGTTTATATTTAACACTTTACCAGCAGCATACAAGAGTTCCAGCTGATCCATAGCCTTATCATTTGGTATGGTCACTTTGTAGATTTTACCTATTCTGTTTATTATAGCTTTAATTTTACTTTCTTGATATTGGTGAAGTTGAACATATTCTCATGTTTACTGACTGTTTTGATATACTCTGTTGTGAAATGTCACTTTGTGTTTCTTGCTCATATTTATATTTAGTTGTTTCTTTTTTCTTATTGAATACAAGCTCTTTGCCAACTACATGGATTGTAAATATCTTCTTCAGTTCTGTATATTGACTTGCCAATCTCAAGGGTGAGTTTTGATGAATGTAAATTCTTAATTTTAGTGTAAATCAATTTATGTATTGTTTCCTTCAGAGTTATGATTAGTCCTTTCATGTCATGTTTAAATGTTGTGGGGTGGGGGGACGGGGGAGGGATAGCATTAGGAGATATACCTAATGTAAATGACGAGTTAATGGGTGCAGCACACCATCGCACATGTAAACATGTGTAACAAACCTGCAGTTTGTGCACATGTACCCTAGAATTTAAAGTATAATAAATATATATATATAAAAAGAATTATTTGCCTTCCCCAAAGTCATGAATTTATTCTACATTACCTTCTGTAAGCTTTACTTAAGTTCTACACTCTACCTAGAATTAATTTTTCTGTGTAAGTACTGTGGAGTTGTGATAAGCTGAATTATGACACTCAAAGACACCCATGTACTAATTGGTGGAACTGGTGAGTGTTATTTGATATTGCCAAAGAGACTTTGCAGATGTGATTGAATTAAGGAGCTTGAAATGGAGAGATTATCCTATATTATCTCGGTGGGCCTTAAACATAGACACAAGTGTCTTTGTAAAAGGGAGGAAGAGGGAGACTTGATGGCAGATGAGGAGAAGGCCATGTGACTACAGAAACAGAGACTGGAGTGATGCAGCCACAAGCTACAGAATGCTGACAGCCACCAGAAGCTGGAAGAGGCAAGGAATGGATTCTCTGAAGCTTCCAGAGGGAACCAGTCCTGCTGACAGCTTGACTTTAGCCCCATAAGACTCATTTCAGACTTCTGACCTCCAGAACTGTAAAAGAATAAATTTCTATTGTTTTAATGGTAACTTGGTATAGCAGCAATACAAAATAATGCAGGGATCATTTTTTCATTTTCCATTTTGATTTCTAATTGATCCAAAATCATCAAAGTAAATAATTCTTATGATGTAAATATTGAATTTTCAGATATTTATTTGTGGAATATATATATATTTTACTATTTTTGAGTTTTTCCATTCCCTACTTTTCTTCTATTGTTTTTATCAGTATATGTATGTATATACATATCAGTATATATACACATGTGATATACATATATCAGTATATGTATTTTATGATAATGACATTGTTTTTGTACTCAAGCAATAGAAAAATGGACAAATAAAAGTGTCTTAAATCTCTCCAAAATTACAACCTTCAGAAATGGCCAGCATTAATATTCAGTGAACATCTGTAGATACAAAGATTGATATATGGATAGATAGGTAGAATTTCTTAAAATAAGAGCAGGATCACACTATAAAGTATTTAAAAAAGAAAATTATATGAAATGAGTGGTTCTCAAACTCTTTGATCTAAGGACCCCTTAAGACACTTAAAATCCAGTGAGAACTCTAAAGAGCTTTTGTTTACATGTTTCGCATCTTTTGATTTACTGAATTACCATTTAAAACCATGAAAATTTTCAAATGTTAATTTAAAAATATCATTACATGTTAACCTAAATAACATATTTTGTGAAAAGTAATTATATTTTTTTCAAATAAGAAACAGCAAGAGAATTATTCTATACTTTTACAAATATCTTTATTTTGAAACTTAATAGGAGACAGCTGGATTATTATATCTACTTCTGTGTTCAATCTGTTGTGAATTGTTTCTTTGGCCAAAGTATAGGAAGTTCAGCCTCACACAAAATGTTATGGGAAGAGGAGGAACATTTTCATAACTTTTTCAAATACATACAAACTGGACAAATGGCAGTTCGTTAAAGTTTAGTTGCAGTGTGGAATCTAAAAGTGTATTAATGAACTTCACGTCCTTGTTACATTAAAATGTTATTGGTCTTTCTTGCACTTTGAATGGATGTTTTACTCAGTCATAATTTTATAACATCACTAATTGATCATTTGAAAAATATTGGTTCAGAGTTATGCAGAGTTTTCAGATATGACACATTTATTGTATAATAAGATATCAAATTCATTAATATTACCACTGAGATAATCAGAAAATGTTAGAAAGCTCTCAAGTTTGTTATGGGGAATGTAGATTTTTCCAAAATTCTAATTTTTCTTAGACAGCTTGAGTTTTATCGGCAAAAAATACTATTAGCTGTTTTCCTTGAGGTAACAGGCTTACTTTATTACTTTTTCAGAAAATAGCTGCCAAATAGTCATGTCTGAATAACCATACATTATCTGCTAGTCATTTTTTCAGTAGTTTTCATAGTGTCTAGTTAAACTGGCAACTTGTCTCAAGGCAACTATTATACTTTAATATGTAGTCAACTTTCTTAATGTGTACTTCCAATGTTACAGAATATTAAAACTTGTATACCCAAGTGTTGAGATTTAATAAGATTATTGAATTTTATTGCATCTCTAAGGACATTTTTTTAAGTGTCCATTTTTGTTTTGAGTGGACAGTGGAAAAGAATACAATGACCGCTAGTACGATTTGGTGCTGCTGCCTTAATATTAAGGTGTTAATAATTTTATTCATTATGACTTTTACACCATGAGCGAAAATGTCAACACAGTGATTTTGACCTTCTGGACACTTGAAACTCCTGTGGATCCCTCAGGAGTCTATGGATACACTCGGAGTATCCCTGTGTGAGAGCTTACCTCCACTTAAAAGGAAAAACCAGAAACCAGAATGAAACTAGACTTATTGCTCAACATTAATTAAGTGTTTCTTTAACAATTCAGCAAGACTATGTAGAAACCTGGGTTATCTGTTCCCCCTACCTCAGGTTCTAGACGAGTGGATTAAAAGCAACAGTCAGGGCTCAAAGAATGGTTCAGAGAAAGGTGTCTGGAAAAATTATGAAAGGCTTTGAAATGAGAAAATAATTTAATATTTAGCTTACTCATCCAGGTTCTCTGAACCTTTCTTTGTCTCTGAGCTATTTCCCAATACTGTAAGTTGCAGAAAACTAATAATAATTCACATGATTCCTGACTATACTAATGCATGTTAATTTTCTGATGAAATGAAATTATTACCCCATGGGGAGACTATTTTTTTATCTACTTGTAAATTTACTTCAGAATTCCTTATTCTTTATACATGTTTGTGCCCCTTGAATTGTTTCTTGAACTTGTTATAATATCTCACCAGTTACTACATAAATTAATAAGTAAATAAAATCTTTGACATTTTTTTATTACTATTATACTTTAACAAAGAAAAATCAGCTAAATCTTAAAGAATAATTTTTAAAAGGGTATATAAAAACACATGTCATTTAGCATTAGGTATATCTCCTAATTAGGTATATCTCCTAATTAGGGATACCTCCTGATGCTAAATGACATGTGTTTTTATATACCCTTTTAAAAATTATTCTTTAACAAAGAAAAATCAGCTAATTCTAGTTTTTGATGTTACAACACATATAAGGAGGAATGATTTGTATCATATCCAAACAAATAAAACCAAAACCAACTCTGAGGAAAATTTGCATAAAAACAGTGCAAATGGGGTCCCTGATACTAGGGAACATTTTACTCTCGCACTGGACAAAGATGCCCACACTGAGGATGACCAAGTTGGGGAAGGAAGGAAGAATTCAAAACATGGTTGAAGAAACATATAGAGCCGGGGGGACATAAAAAATCCAAGGCACAGAAGTACGTTTCCCATTAGTGCTGCGCTTCAAGCTATAGAACTTATTGAGAATATAAATTCAGTATGAGAGCAACACAAAGTAATACATAATAATAAAAATAGATTAAGTCAATATTGCAGAAGTAAGGAAACAGATAAAACAACAGCATTAAAGATTTAATAATTTAGAATAACAAAAGGCATATGGTTGAAAATCACTCATTTGAGATCCTTCTAAATGTCCTATTTTAGGATCCACTTAACCCATCTGGGTTTATCACTTCTGAGGACTTCAACTGTACAATGAGCAAATTAGCCCACTGCATGGCATAGGGCAATACAACTTTATCTTTTCTGCGTCTTCTGAGATCCATTAGCAGGTTGTTTTTTTTTTCGGCTTCTACTCTTTAGTATTTTTTTCTTATTTTTCCCATGGCTTCCTATTCAGCTGATCAGGCTGCTTTTATCTGAATTTGAGAGTATAATTAAAATTTTTTTGTATTCTTGACTTTTTTTCTGGAGTGGAGGTGAGGTGGTGGTTGGGAGTTGGAGCATATTTAGAAACACAAAACTGCACCAGCACTTGTGTGTTTTTCTCCTTGGATCTGTAAAAGGTTATATTATAAAATGGCATAAGGCGGTTCTTCTTTCTTGAATTGTTGACTTGTTCTCCACTCCCATCATTTTGTGCGTGGGGAGGGTGTTAATGCACTAAAGGACAGTCTGTTATCCTGCTCCATTCTATCGTTTCTACTCAGAAGCTTTCTATTTCTTAATATTTTTCATAAACTGCTTTATGTTACCATTTCAGACTCATATTTTTGAGATAAGTCTTAAAAATAGGATATATAGTGTAGGGTAGAACAGAACAGCTGAGCATTTAGGTCAAGCTGTTGTGCCATATGTACAAGGTTTGTTTTTCAAAACTTCAAAAACTGAATTTTAAAGATTGACTATACACATTCAACAAGATGTATGTAGTACTATGCAAGAATGAGTTATTTTTAAAGGAAGCTCAGCCACTAACATCAATGACAGAGATGAATAGTCTTATTCAAGTATACCAACATCCCATTATGGACTGTAGCTGCTTTATTGTACAGTATAAAATAAGACTGCTTTAATAAAGGTAATGGGAACAAAAATGAACAATGAAGCTTAGTTCTCTTCACAGTCTGCTATATATTAACAGGTTTTAATTTATCATATTGATTTATTCCATTAACAACAATTCGTGGTTTTATATAATATTTTTTACAAAGGTCAAAGTGTTTTGCAAATAACATATGATGGTAGGTGGGAAAGTAGAGGATCTGACACTACTGATGTGTTTCCATGATTCTATAGCAAATTAATCACCTTAGGGAACAAAAGACATATCACTTGATTGACTTTTTTCACCCTCAAATCAATTGACTTTGTATCATGTAACCCTAGGATTCTATAAGTAGAGAAAAGCTATGAATAAACACATTCAGGAGGAACTCTGGTTTTTCCAAACAGTATTAAAGACAATTTTCAAACACAATTATGGTAAAAATTATTTGATTTTAGAAGGGAAAAGTTAGTGGCAATTAGGAAAAGAGAAAGAAACTTGAATTTTCAAAATACAACTACTGAAGAAAATTCTAAGTAATGACTATTCTTAGATAAATGTATGTATTTTTACATTAAACCTTATGGATTGAGTAATCCATATGTCATATTAAATTTAGTTCAACATTGCTCGTTGAATGTAGACATCAAGCAATGTGAATCTTTATATATATGTGTGTGTGTGTGCATATATATATATATGTTTGCAAATATATATAGGGCAAATGTTAAAGGCAGTGTCTGGAACATTTCCCCCATAATGTTCTAATTTGTGCTACCTTCAGGCAGGACTTGAAAGCTCTAGAAGAGTTTACCATTAAGTCGTTGAAAGAAAGTCATTCTATTCTTTCACTGAAAAGATGCTTGATGATCCATTAGAGAAGTATGAACCTATCCTTTTCTTGAAATATTAAGTTGGTGCAGAAGTAATGCGGTAATAGTTCTTTAGGCTTTTAGGCTTTGTAGTAAGTTTTAAAATGAATCATTTATTGATTTTTTTTCTGAATGTTTTATCCAGACTACATTTCAAAACTTTATAAAATCTCTAGTTCTCAAATTTTGTTTATCCTAATAAAATGATTGTCTGCTAATTTAAGATTTGTTAAGCATAAAAGTGCTGCTTAGAACAATGAATAATAGTATTCCTCTCAAAACATAGATTCCAGTATCTAAATGTCATAGTTTTTAGAGAGATAATTCTAAGAAGTTTGAATCTGATATATTAAAATATATATGTATATATAATTAGTCTTATAAAAAGAAATAATGAAATAAATATCACATGGAGAAACAATGATATTCTAGTCACCTATTTTACAATTTTAGTTTGCTTAGATATTAGTTTAATTGTAGATCTGGAATTTGCTAAACATGGATACTTTATCACTTTATTGAAATATTGAAGATATTCATTGTTTATATGGTACCACTCCCATTAAACATGGGTATTCTTCTCTAATTGAGCTATTGTAATAATGCTCCCAATATCAACAATTTGAATTGAGATCATTTATAAATATTCAAAAGAGGTTCATTGGTTATCGGTTTGAATTAAATAAAATCTAACATCATTCCTTATAGAATTAATAGTTATAAGTGCAGATAAAGCACTATTAAATCAGGTACCTAGATTATTAAATCTGGAAATTTCCATAAAGTTACCTGGATTTCTATCATCTACCTTAACAGAAAAATACCTCACATTTTTATGGTGTTTTGTATTTTTCAAAACACTTACATAGATATACATTTCAAACCTTGTGAAGTTTGATAATATAAACATACCTGCATCACTTGTAGTCAAACTAAGACATAGAAAGATGAATAGATGTACCCTATATTGTACAATAGCTCACACTAACTTGGGTTCAAATCTATCCTTGGTTATCTACTGACGTTTCAATCAGGGCTACCTGTGGGAGCAGTCAGATGATCTGTTTATCCTGGTGCTGCTTCATGACATATGATAAAGACTGTTTGGTTATCTTGCATTGAGATCTCTGTTGGAACACAGATGTTTCTTCTGTAGTTTTAGAATTCCTCTTTCCTGGTTCCCCCTAAAGGTCTGGATTTGTATACAGCAGTAATTCCAGTAGCAACCTCAGCAGCAGTTGCTCATGATTTTAAGACAGCTTACAGCAACAATGATGACATGGGCTGATAATAACCAGTGTTAGGGTAAGCTAGTTTGTCAGTGGGAAGATGGCAGACAGAGAAGCTCTGGGGAGAACTGAAGGATCATGGCAGCAGCCTGGTACATAATTAATGATTACACCCATGTTTATTACATGCTATTGGAGATTGGCTTCAGGCCAATTTCTGAAATTTATAGACAGCCTGTTTTAATTTTTTCTAGTCTGCTAATTGTGCCTAACCAGTAAAAAACACTAGTAATACACAACTCTTAGAGGAAATGGGTCTTCTTCATTTGGGTGAAATGAATAAAAATGAAAACTCCAAATTTCACCAATTGTCTGTTTTCCTACTCTCCCATTTTTGATGCCACGATTTTTAGTCTATTTGTTGCTAGGATGAACATGGCTGTTAAATGGATATAACATTCGTAACACCTCTCAGACAAAAATCTTGCATCTTAAGACCTTAATTCCCTAGACAAGGTACAAGAGGAAAGGAGTTAAAGCATTATCTGAATAAGTCACTTATTTCAGGCCTGCCATTTGCCAAGCACTGTTTTATGCAGGTTATATGTATCTCTCATTGACTTATTTCTTCATAAATTTCAATTGTATAAGTAGAATATAATTGTTCTATTTTAGGCGAAGTTTAATGAATCACATAATTCTAGGTCAAGGGTTGGCAATCTATGTGGCCCATGGACCAAATTCTGACACTGTCTGATTTTGTAAATCTTAATTGAAACATGGCCGTACTCATTCATTTACATATTGTCCATGGCTGCTTTCAGGCTACTATGGCAGAGTTGAACTTGTGCAGCTTGCAAACATATCTACTTCAAATATCTATTTCTGAGGGTTATAGAAAAACTTGCCAACTCCTGCTATATTCCTGATTTTTTAAGTAAATGCGTGAAAACATTATCTTTGTTTCAAGCTACATTTTGACTAAACCATTGAAATTTGTGTTTGTTTCTATTTATCAGAGGAATAAATTATAACAATGTTCAATGGGATAATTTCCTAAAGATTCAATACCTACTTATTTTTTATCACAACTATCAAGGTTGAATAACTCAGAAACAAAACTTAAGAACTATTCTAGCCAAGTACCTATGCTATGCAAGGCACTAGAGGAGGTTCTGAGGAGAGTGGGGAGAATAGAGAACTACGAAACACAGTTTCAGATTAAGAGGTTAATATGGTTTGGCTGTGTCCCTACCCAAATTTGATCTTGAATTGTAACTCCCATAATTCCCATGTGTTTTGGGAGGGACCCGGTGGGAGATAACTGAATCATGGGGGCATTTTCCCTCATACTGTTCTGGTGGTAGGGTATAAGTCTCATGAGATCTGATGGTTTTATAAGGAGTTTCCCCTTTTGCTTGGCTGTCATTCTCTCTCTTGCCTGCTGTCAAGTAAGATGTGTCTTTTGCCTTCTGCCATGATTGTGAGACCTCCCCAGCCCCGTGGAACTGTGAGTCCATTAAACCTCTTCTTCTTTATAATTTACCCAGTCTTGGGTATGTCTTTATTAGTAGTGTAAAAACAGGCTAATACAGAGGTGTTTGCTATTTGGTGAGGAGATGTAAGCACAGACTCCTGGTAAAATGAATCTCTGTGCAAGTTCTTAATTTATACTTCTAATTTAAGACATGTCACAACCAGGTTTCCCAAAGAATTATGTAGCTATCTACTAAAAGGTGAGAAACTAGGGATATATAGACCATCACTTATTCAACTTTGTATCCCTCACATTGCCCAAAGAAAGCTATGCACATTTTAGGCACTCAGAATTTGTTGAATTTGTCTTTGCTGTCATAAAAAAGATGAAATACAATGAATAGAAGTTTCTCATGAATGACAATGCATTAATTCAGCCATCCATGTTTGCAACTTACTCTTTCCTATATCTGTCTTGAGCTAGCTCTATTGGGACCCATTAAGGAGGGATGAAGATATTCAAAGAATTTTATGGTACACACAATAAAATTGATTAAAACAACTGAGCAATCTTTTTCCTTAGAAGAGAAAAGATGCTATCTAATATGATGCCAGGGAATGCTGTGGGACTTCATTGGCCTTGCCACATCATTGAAATGAAATATGGTAAGTGTCTAATGAAGATGTTATATATTCTGCTGGAAATCATTTTATAGGGAAAGGCAGGTGTTATGACTCTTTAGATTTCATTTGTTTTCTCCAGGAGTATCAGAAATCTTTTAGTCTTCCATAAATGCAAATGAAGAGGCCCCAATAATTCCACTAGCATGTCAATTACTCTTATCTAAGATTGGTCCTTCTTTTGCTTCCTATTTTAAATACAAACATTAAGTAATATAAAGATTGCTTCTGAATCCTCTCCTCCCACTGGAGTTGCTCATGTAATTTGCCTCCTGGGACTTGGTCAGATGTCTTCTCATAATTTTCAAAGATCACATACTTCCACATGGCATGCTTATTTCTTTTCAAAGAAGCAGCACAGAATGGATCCAACTGCATGGTAATATATCCCATGACGAAGCCTCCTGATTGATACTGCTTGTGTAATAGAGCTCATTTTCTGAAAGTGCACCTAAAGAATTTTGTGTGGTCTCATCCCTTCTCTCGTGACCTATTAGTAGCTCCTTTGACTAGGTTCCAGAATTCTGAATTGGTTCAGTGGCAGATTCAAAAAGCTTTCTTTTCATCTTGACTGCTGCTCTCAGAGCTGTCTCTCTCCCACAGAGTGTTCTTTTTTAAGCTATCCTTTCTAAGGATTTTTACCGTAACCCCGTAAGGATTCAAGTTTTATCTTCCTTTTGTTCCTTTTCAACATCAATTAGTTGGTGAGGCAAACTGAGACAAAATAAATGTGCAGTTTTGAACCAGGAATATAATTCAAAGCTGACAGTGGTTTATCAGCCTGATAGTTCTCTATCCTTGTCTCTTAAATATTTGATTTGATATAAAATACAATGTTCAAAAAATGTTTGTGAAATGGAATTGAGTTGAACTGAAATATTTAGGAATTAAAAAATGGCAAAATTAAAATCAAAGCAACTCAAACAAAATCAACACCTAATATTTGAAGTGAAACATCTGTTTTAATTTTCTCACTAGTTTTAATTGCTCCTACACATAATATACTGATTTCAAAGTAAATGCAATTATCCCCTAAGTTAAGGGACACACCTTTTAAATTACCAGTATCTAACTGAATTACAAAAATCTTTGTGCTCATCTGTTGTGAGGCTTTTATGAGGTTGACAGATTCTAAGAGGATAGAAAGTAGCAACCCAGGAAACATTCTGCTGAGGTATTCCCAACAGTGTAGGATTAAATTACCACCTTAAAAATGAACAGAAAGAATGCTTTACAAACAAAAATATTTTCTCCCTTCATGGGCTCTGAAACTCTCTAGAGTAAACAGCTTTGATGTGTCCGGTACTATAACAACAATTATATAAGACAAGGGCAGAAATGGATAATCGTTACAGTGGGATTATTTTCTTACCAATAATTTCTAGTTTGATTGTTTTTGTAGGTCATTGAATAAGGAAGGCAGAAATGATCCTATGGCACTATCATCAGCTTGACTTTTATTGGATTTAGATTAAAGTACGAACTTTAATGGAGTGTATATATGCTTGGCATGTATTTCTCTGGCCTTCAAAGATAACACATCCAAGTGTTGGTATGGACATGAGCCAGGAGCGTGAACCCAGAGCAGGATAATTCCCAGTGGTTGGGTGCTGCTTTAACTATGAGCTGTTTTTAGTTGGTAGAAATAAATTTTCCCCAAGAAAATGCCTTCCAATTCTATATAACTTAAAAAATTGCAAAGCTAGAAAATCACTTTTCTTTGTCTTTCGATTATTATGTTTGTGTCTTTTGTTCTGTTTTTCTTTTGTTTACTCTGCAATGTACTATTACTTCCAAATTTCATGGTCATCTACCAGCACTTAGATTTTGTATAAAAAACAAGTTTTTCTTTTGTATTGTCTTCTCTCTCTCTCTTTTAACATAAATCAGTCAGACACTCTCTAAAGCTATCATTTAAACATGGGTGCCTCTGCTCCTGGGGAATAAATGATACTGGCCTAGCCTGGCAAGTTGGTTTCTTTCTAAAATATAACATAAATTCTTTGTTTTAATTTAATGTTAAAAACTACTAACTTCACCTGGCTTTCCTAAATGCTTCTTTTAGGCATTTTACTCGTAGTCAAATAATAAAATCTTTTATGTATTTTGTTTAGAAAGTGTAGAATGATGAATCAATTTAGCAAACTGTTTCAAAGTAGAGGAGCAAATCGTTTGGGAAATAATAAGTTGCCCCAAAGGGGATAATTGTTTTTTATTTTTTATTTTTTTATTATTTTATTATACCTTAAGTTCTAGGGTACATGTGCACAACATGCAGGTTTGTTACATATGTATACATGTGCCATGTTGGTGTGCTGCACCTATTAACTCGTCATTTACATTAGGTATATCTCCTAATGCTATCGCTCCCCGCTCCCCTGATACCACAACAGGCCCCTGTGTGTGATGTTCCCCTTCCTGTGTCCAAGTGTTCTCATTGTTCAATTCCCACCTATCAGAATATGCGATGTTTGGTTTTTTGTCCTTGCCATAGTTTGCTGAGAAGGATGGTTTCCAGCTTCATCCATGTCCCAACAAAGGACATGAACTCATCATTTTTTATGGCTGCATAGTGTTCCATGGTTTATATGTGCCACATTTTCTTAATCCAGTCTATCATTGTTGGACATTTGGGTTGGTTCCAAGTCTTTGCTATTGTGAATAGTGCCACAATAAATATACGTGTTCATGTGTCTTTATAGCAGCATGATTTATAATACTTTGGGTATTACCCAGTAATGGGATGGCTGGGTCAAATGGTATTTCTAGTTCTAGATCCCTGAGGAATCACCACACTGTCTTCCTCAATGGTTGAACTAGTTTACAGTCCCACCAACAGTGTAAAAATTCTCCACATCCTCTCCAGTACCTGTTGTTTCCTGACTTTTTAATGATTGCCATTCTAACTGGTGTGAGATGGTATCTCATTGTGGTTTTGATTTGCATTTCTCCGATGGCCAGTGATGATGAGCATTTTTTCATGTGTCTTTTGGCTGCATAAATGTCTTCTTTTGAGAAGTGTCTGTTCATATCCTTCACCCACTTGTTGATGGGGTTGTTTGTTTTTTTTCTTGTAAATTTGAGTTCTTTGTAGATTCTGGATATTAGCCCTTTGTCAGATGAGTAGATTGCAAAAATTTTCTCCCATTCTGTAGGTTGCCTGTTCACTCTGATGGTAGTTTCTTTTGCTGTGCAGAAGCTCTTTAGTTTAATTACATCCCATTGGTCAATTTTGGCTTTTGTTGCCATTGCTTCTGGTGTTTTAGACATGAAGTCCTTGCCCCTGCCTATGTCCTGAATGGTATTGCCTAGGTTTTCTTCTAGGGTTTTTATGGTTTTAGGTCTAACATTTAAGTCTTTAATCCATCTTGAATTAATTTTTGTATAAGGTGTAAGGAAGGGATCCAGTTTCAGCTTTCTACATATGGCTAGCCAGTTTTCCCAGCACCATTTATTAAATAGGGAATCCTTTCCCCATTGCTTGTTTTTCTCAGATTTGTCAAATATCAGATAGTTGTAGATATGCGGCATTATTTCTGAGGGCTGTGTTCTGTTCCATTGGTCTATATCTCTGTTTTGGTACCAGTACCATGCTGTTTTGGTTACTGTAGCCTTGTAGGATAGTTTGAAGTCAGGTAGCGTGATGCCTCCAGCTTTGTTCTTTTGGCTTAGGATTGACTTGACAATGTGGGCTCTTTTTTGGTTCCATATGAACTTTAAAGTAGTTTTTTCTAATTCTGTGAAGAAAGTCATTGGTGACTTTATGGGGATGGCAGAAAGTGGCCATACTGTCCAAGGGATAATCTGTTAAGGTACTAAAGACATTACACCTCCAATATGAGGAATTGTTAAAATGATTGTGCATTTATTTCAAAAGAGAAAACAATTGTCAAATTTTGAATACTGCTGGTAATACACCTTAGTGATGTTCATTCACAGAAGAAAGAAGCCCATACATTCTGCTTATAGAGACCTTTATGAGCAAATTGCATAATAATGCAGAGAACTCTGGATGTAAAGACATTTCCTTAAGCAAATACTGTTAATACTACTTAAAAAAAAACCAGCTTATATCAAGATAATAGATGTTACTAAAAGAGTGGTAGGAATTTACTTGATTGTCAAATGAACCCCAGCTTTGGAATGCCTTTTCCCAAGTTATCAAGTATTGAATGTAATTCATATTTAGTGATTTATATCATAAAAGTATGCTCTGAAACATTTGCAGCATTTGTTTTACTGCTATAGCCATATGCTGTCAAATTCATATGCTTGCTAAATTCTGTCTTGTCAGCTCAGATCCTGTTTGTAAGTCACGTTCCATTGAATGACTCATAAAGAAACTTCTAGAGAAACTACAAAGAACTAAAATTTCTCTTTGGTAATGCTTCATGCACTGGTCTGGAAAAATTCTCTCACAATATTTAAATGAATAAATCATTGATTCAATAGATCAACGTTTGAGAAAGAAACATGACATACAAGAAGTCAAACATTTAATACTCACTGTAAAGAATAGTTCCATTTAAACTGTTTGTTTTTATAGTCAAGTAGATGGTAACAGTTCTGTTATGTTCCTTCTCCAGGACAAACTTCAAAAAGGGCAGTTCTAAATAGGAATTCCCATTGAAAGATGGAAAGAATAAACCTGCATCTAAAAAAGAAAATGGTATTAATATGTTCTGATAGCATTATATTGCTACTCAAGTAGATAAAAACTTAGCATTTATAGTTAGCATTCATTTGAAAAGGTAACACTAGTATTTAAAATGTTAGGTCCAATTTTAAGAACTTTAGATATAAAGTGTAATAAATTTATATTTATTGCCTCAAATAATTCACTACCAGTACAGAGGAAAAGACTGAATAAGAGTTATAATTTGATGTTTATGGATGGGTTTTAAGACATAACAAACACTCTAAAATTGTCTGAAAAAAATTTGTGTACTTGCATTGTGAAATCAGTGTTTCACCAGATTCTTTTGCGATATTTTGTGATGTGAAGGTTGTATTGTTTGTTAATTTTTAATTTTTGTGTTTACATTGTAGGTATATATATTTATGGGTTTCATGAGATATTTTGATACAGGAATACAATGTATCATAATCACATCAGGGTCAATGGAGTATCCATCACCTTAAGCATTTATCCTTTGGGTTACAAACATCAAGATATACACTTAAAATTGATAAATTTTATTTGATGTAATTATATGTCAATAAAGTGAAAAAAATTCTGTGACACACAAAGGTTAGAGAACTGTCACACAGAGGAATTTTATTAATGTTCATTAATATTTAGTGCTTTTCAATAATACTTAGTTATTTTATAAGTAGTATTACTATAATATGCAAGGTTATTAGTTTTAGACTTATAGAATTATTTGTATTTTAAATAATCTCACAAAATCTTGGTGCACATAAAATTTAAAACATTTCATTGTTATAGATCTATATTCATATCTATTAAAATATAATTGGTACATAGAACAAGTGTAACACATGGTATGTTGAAAATGCAACTTCTTTAACATTTGGTAATAAAAAAAAGAAAATGCAACTTCTTTTTTTTTTTTTTGAGATAGTGTCTCATTTTATCAGCACAACTGAAGTGCAATGGAGCAATCTCGGCTCACTTCAGCCTCAAACTCTCAGGCTCAGGTCATCCATCTGCCTCAGCCTCTGAAGTAATTGGGACTACAGGTGTGTGCCAACACGCCTGGCTAACTTTTGTATTTTTAGTAGAGACAGGGTTTCACCATGTTGCCCAGGATTGTCTCAAACTCCTGAGCTCAAGCAATCTGCCCACCTTGGCCTCCCAAAGTGCTGGAATTACAGATGTGAGCCACCATGCCCAGCCAACTTTCTTTTTTGTCTTTCTCACAATGGGGGGAATTTTCTCTGCCACTGGACGGAAATTTAGTATTTCCGATTATTTTTACCATCTCTCTAAGTCATACAGTGAGTGAGAAACTAATATCCAGTCTAAGAAATTTAGTAACAGTTAAATCTTCCATCAGAGATATGATTTCTCCTATCCTCCTTCACCAGCCTATCTCTGTAGGGTGGCCTGACACCTGCTGTCTTCCTTGAGGGGCAGAAGTAACCTGGTTTCTGTTCTTCTTTTTATCACCTCTCCTAAGGTTAGCTGCTGTTTCTGACCCTTCCAGCTTTGAATGGGGAGAAAGTAAGGTGGGGTGGAAAGGAAAGACTACACAGTAAAGAAGAGCTGTTAGAAATGGCAATTGTACTGTTGTAACCAGGCATCTTGCTCTTTAGGAAGGGAACATGTTTAAAACTGGTTGTTTCTTTCATGGTAGGGATGCCAGATAAAATACAGGATGCTCAGTTAAATTCAAATTTCAGATAAATAACAAATAAGTTTTTTGTTGTTATTTGTTTGTTTTTTGAGACAGTCTTGCTTCGTTGCCCAGGCTGGAGTGCAATGGTGCAATCTTGGCTCACTGCAACCTCCACCTCCCGGCTTCAAGCGATTCTCCTGCCTCAGCCTCCTGAGTAGCTGGGATTACAGTCATGTGCCACCATGCCTGGCTAACTTTTGTATTTTTAGTAGAGACGGGGTTTCACTATGTTGGCCAGGCTGCTCTCTAACTCCTGACCTCAGGTGATCCACCTGCCTCAGTCTCCCAAAGTGCTGGGATTACAGGCGTGAGCCACTGTGCCCAGCCTAAATAAGTTTTTAGTATAAGTATGTCTCAAACATCACATGAAATATACTAAAAATAGTGCTGTTTATTTGAAATTTAAATTTAAGAATCCTGTAATTTTAGTTGCTAGATCTGGCAACACTATGACTCATGAGCATTTATTCAATCTTTGGAAACCTTTGTCAACTGCCACGCCTAGGATTTGCAGCCATACCCTGCCTTCTTTCTTGTCACTTCTATCTTGGTCTTGCTCTGATTTTTCAAACTCTTGTTGTTGACAGTGATTTGCCTGTGTCAGTGCAAACATTGCACAGATTAAGTTAAGTAGGCAAGGATGACTTTTCCCAAGGCTATTGCAATAAGGGAGAGGTCAGAACTCAGTCTGAGCTCAACTGCTTTGTAATAAAGTAAAGGGTGGGAGAGTTTTTAAGAGCTGGAGTGAGAGAGAACACAGGCTGTCTGTGTTTGCTAATTGGCTTTATTCAAAGGATAAGTAAACTTTCTCTTATCTTTGTATTAGGACATAGTTTTACAACTAGGAATCAAGGCACCCATTGAAGTTAGTCTTATACCCTCCCCTAGAGGTGGACAGATGGGCTGCTGTCTTCTTTTATGATTACATTTTGGGGGAGCAGTGGTTCCAAGAACCTTAAGAAAGATTCCTGGCTGGTAAAACTGACAAGATCTTTAAAAGATTTATGTTTCAAAGGCAACAGAGAAATAATGTAATACGGAAAGTTTTCTAAAGTAAATGCTCCAAGGACCTAGTCAGGAAGAAACCTTTCTAAAGTTTAGTTAAGCTAAGAAGAGTGTTAAGGCCATCTTAGTCACTTAACAAGCAGCATTTGGGAAGAACATAAAATGACTTCAGGCCAGTTGCTTTTCCTGAGGGGTACATATCTAGTCCGTGGTAAAGACTCTTAAATTCCTGGTCATCTCCTGCCCTACTGTATGTGGGGTATAGTTAATTTCCAACCAAACTCTGTCTCTGTTTTTCTTCTGTTGTTTTTTTTGAGACAGAGTCTTGTTCTTTTGCACAGGCTGCAACTGTGGTGCAGTCTCTGCTCACTGTAACCCCCGCCTCCCGAGTAGCTGGGATTACAGGTGCATGCCACCATGTCTGGCTAATTTTTGCATTTTTAGTAGTGATGGGTTTTCGCTATGTTGGCCAGGCTGGTTGGGCTCCTGACCCCAAGTGATCCACCTGCCTAGGCCTCCCAAAGTGCTGGGATTATAGGCGTGAGTCACCCTGCCCAGCCCTCTGTCTCTTTCTCTCTCCCCCTCCTTCTCCTTCCAGACGCGCGCGCGTGCGCACGTGCGCGCGCACACACACACACACACACACACACAGTGCTGCTTTAGCTCAGCTATGAATGTATGACTATAGGTCAACAGTCCATGGTGCTACTTTCTAAGTGATCCAGCTGTAGCTATCTCCAAACACATTGTCAGGTACGGTGGGTGGAAGAGGGTGGGGAGTGAAGTCCACAAGATAGCCTTCTTCAAAAACATTTTCTCAAAATTATCTCTTAAAATCTTCTGGTCCAAATACATACCCTTTTTAAATCAAGAATACTTTCTAGTTAAATCTTGCTTTTAGGTATGGCACCTCATTTGTTTACAGTGTTATATCCTGTTGTGCAAAAGAAAGTTTATTTTTAATATCCTGTTTATGCCTATAACTTGTGAAGGTTAGTTGTTAGAATCAGGTATAAACAATACAACTTAACTATTATTAAACTGCTTTACTTAAGTTATATGGTATCACAAAAGTTACCGTTTGTTGGCCTTCTACACACAATCTTTTACTCTTAGAAATTTACCTACCTGGTTCTGCATTTTATTGAATCTGTTTTTTCAAAGGTTATTAAGGCCTTGTTAGCAAGTTCTTCATCGGTGCTTATGAGCACTGATGCCTAGAAATCTCCATAATACTAAGCCGTCATTTTTATTAAAACTTTCTCTTTCCTTGTCTTTCATGACACTGTTCTGTACTTTGGCTGTCTTCTTACCTACCTTTTGCAGACTGTTTCTTCAACCACTTTATAACACACATAGTTTCCAAGGCTCTGTCCTCTGTCTTGAGTCCTCTAATCATTTCTGACTTTTCTACATCTGCTGCTCCTTCAGTTTCTAACTCATAGTACTTAGTGTTCCAAGCTTAGAAACTCAGCATCATTATCTACTCGTCTCTTCCCAAACTAGTTGCTAGATCCTGACACTTGCTTAAATCAAAGCTTTTGTCTTTCCTTCTGCTACCACAACCCTTTAAGTTCTCATTGTTTCAACTGAACTGTTGCAGTGGCTTCTTTCTAACTTGCTTTCCTTCCTACAGTGTCTATTAGTTGTCATTGCTGCCATGTCAATTTTATTCAATCATAATTACCTGAGACCTTTGGTCAAAAACTTCAGTGGCTACAGTATAATTATCAAGTAAGCCAGGCCCTCCATGGTCTTCCTTTTTAGTGCTTCTACACATACATATCTCCTGCTAAGGTTGAACCAACTTTCTTTTGTTTCTCTACTTGTGTTCATACTGTTCTATCTTTGTAGAACGTTCTTCCTCAAATCCTAGGTATAAAATTTCTCCCTTAATTCAAGGCCTACTTGAATATTCTCCCAAATTTGAACTCCTCAAAGCATTGTATCCGCAACTTTTTTAGTCTATGTATTGTTTTTTATCCTACGTTACAATTGTTGGCATAAATATAGAATTGATAATATAGTAAACCTAATAATTTGGATGAAGGCAGTGAAGTGACTTTAATTAGTAGAAATAGAATGTCCTAAGCATATGAATTCTAAGAAGGCACTGGGGAAAATATGAGTTAAGGAGGTGAGTTTCCTTTCCTGTGACCAGAAACGATTATAACATAGTTGGAATGTCACTTATGGAGCAGAAGGTTTGCAGATGCTGAACTGCACATGCATCAACTTTTAATGATAGAAGAAAAGCCATATACCAATCAAGTTAAGATGCAATGTAACTAGCTAGACACTAGGAGAAGTTTGGATATGAATTTGGATACCATTAGTAGAGGAAAATGGTTAAGTTTACAAAGAGATGGACTTGGCTTGTAAATAAATAGGATCCTTAGCATATAACTTGGAAACTATTTGGATGTTGCATATCTGTTGATTCTACCATAGATATGGTTTTAGACAGTTTCTTCGTGTTATTTTTGCCTATCTTACTGGGAGTCACTAATGAATTCAACGCATTCAACAAACATCTATCAAGTGACTACTACATCCCAAATACTCATCAGGGAATACAGTGTTGAGCAAATATATAAAGATTACCCTAATGGAGCTTAGATTTTAGCTTCATAGAAGGAAACCCCAAGTTAGGAGTTGCACATGTTTTTGGGAGGTCCTGGACAAATGTGCCATCATGTTCTCTTGACCATTTTTCTTGACATTTGTTGTCACCAGGAGCATTGAAACTAATGTGAGATGGAAGACTAGATAAAAAGGAAAGTCCATAAGCCTATCTCATCTATCCTCCTACAGTATACATTCTCTGAAGAAAAGATCTGTGTTTGATTCACCTTTGATCCCCCTATGGCATGTCCAACTTTGCACATGTTAGGCAAATGCTATATTCTTTGATAAATACAAATACAACTAAAATGATCATACATGGTAGTTTGAAAACAAAAATCAGAAAAATATTTTATAAATAAAATGGGATGAGAAAAGGTAATGATGAGATTCCAGCATTTTTCTTGTTGTTAGGGCTTTTCACACTATTGATAAGTCCACCAGAAAATGTTTGAGAAAGGATAGTCTTTATATATGGGTTTATATATGAATTAAATTATTTGGTTTTATAATTAGGTTTTACTTATTCTGAGAAGCAATGAACTCACAAAGTACAATAAAAATATAATTCAATTTGCTAAAAAATGACTTCCGTGTTGCTTTGCAGGAGCACATCTATTATATAATTCAGGTGCACCTGCCTACTTTCTGGCTCACACACTCTTTGAACCTGTTTTCAGTGCTGACAGGTTTTATGAAAATTATGACAGGAAACAACAATTATAAGCAATAAACATTTGCTATTGAATTGCTTTCTAACCATATTAATTTTCATTATCACCGTGTTTAGTGGATATGTTGAAAAACAGAACTGCCCTGAATATGGAAAACAAGACTAATTGGGGTTAGGCAGAGTGTTTTCCCGCTGCTTCCAAAAGCCTCTTCAGGCGATGCTATTTGAACACACTCCAAATTTATTTCTCTTCCAATTATAAATGAAAAAAGCAACAAGGTCTTTATACGAAACATGTATTAAACATCTTACATATAGTATACTATATTACTTATAGTATTGAATTACTGGGTACTGACTACAAAATGACATCTAAAATATACTCTGCAATGTTTGAATGTCTTAAAAGATCATATAGACTTATCAAACTAATTATATTAACTTTGATATGATTCACAAAATAAAGTTAATTTTGAGTCATGGGAACATCTAATAAATCAAGATGGAGAATCTTTTAAGTTCCTAAATTATATTAAAAAAAATCTCAAATTGGCAAAGGAAGCTATGAAAGCACAGTATTGAGTTTGAAATAACTTATGCTAAAAGTATGGATTATCATTTTTATTATTTTTTTTAACCAAGCATAGTTCTGTAGTATGAATCAGGGCCACTATCAATAACAACTCATTGAAATTTTATCCAAGAGAGTACAACAGAATATTATAAAGAAAACACAAAAGAGATGAGTATCTTTACCCTGAACACAACGCAACTTAGCAGAATAAAAGTTAGTGATTCTGAATAGAAATGATGCCCCTTTGTCTACAGCACAAATCCCCTTAGCCTTCTATAAAGGCCTTCTATTAGCTAACCTCAGAGTCTGACACACTAATACACATAAAGCTACAAATACAATGGGTCACAAATTATTCATATACAAGTTGATTGTATTTCTTGGTACCAGAAGAAACAGAATATTGTTTGCTATTTCTTTATAATGGAAATAGATTTGATTTACTCAATAGAAATTAAAAATTAATACTACTGATGTTTTTGTTGAGTAGTTTTTCACCTTCCCCAGAAAGGACATCGTACAAACTCTGTGACGAAGTTTATAAAAAAGAAGGTGACTGAAATGATGCAATTATTATTTTAATTTAAAAATATTACATTTTCCACTTATGAGTCTAATTTTATTAAAATCTGTGATTTAAATGAATATCACCAGTTTATAAGTCCATGTATCTCCTTTCCTGAAGAAGCATTCATTAAAAAAATAAGTCTAACCAATAATATTCAAAGGTTTAGAAACTATAATTACCTACATTTATTATAATATTATAAAATTAAATCTCAAGATACATGAAATTTTAAATACTATATATAAATAAGAATCAATTTATAATTTTCAGTGATTACAATTAAAATGATTATAATTATGATTATCAATATCTTAAATATTTACATATAGTACAAACACTAAATATAATACTGTATATCCTATAATATAGTATATATAAATTATACTAAACTTTTTTACCACATTATACATTTTTGCTTATTTTAGAATTTAAAAAATTTAGATTTAGATGACTTGAGTTTCATAGACTAAATTATTACACTTACTTGAATAATTTCTTCACATTAGACATTCACATTTCTATTAATCCATAAACACTGATAAATTTGTTAAGTGCTGATAAAAATTTACTACTCTCTTGTTGCTGTTAGTACAGCTGTTATTTTTGCTACATCTATTTTTCCCCCACAGAAGAGAACTTCTAAAAATCAGCAGAACTAACATTTCTCCTTTTGATTGTACCTACTTCATTCCTTCATTTAAAGCATGAAAAGAACTGCTCTACATCTGACCAAAGCAATGCACAAGGAAACAATGTTTTAGAACACCCTTTCTCATCCTTCACTGTCACTTCCAATCTAGCATTACTTTTTCATCCCTGATTTCTCTGTTAACAGTTGATCATCATGATTTGCTATTTGATCCTGTCAAAAATCTGAGGCCCCAAAGCTCTGACCCCACTTCCTTTCTCTTACTAAATAAAACATCGTTTAGCACACCAACAAGATCTTCAATGCAGGAAAAATAAAACTAGGACAAGAAAGGTATGAAAAACTATCAATATTTCTCATTGTACTTGACATGCCATAATAGCTACCATTCTCTCTCTAGTCTATTCTTAAATCTTTTCTACTTTAGAAATTCTCCCTGAGTGATCTCATTTGTTCCTATAACTTTAGCTACTTTCTAATTTCTGAAAACTGTCAGATTTTAATCTTTAACATAGATAGAGCCTGACTTAACATATTCATCTGTTTAATGGACAGATTCACTTGGAAAAATATAGGTAACCTAAACTTAACATATTTAAACCCATTTTATTATTTTTCTTCTTTGAAATGTAATCTTTTTCAATATAGAATTGATAATACCTTTCTTGTTATCAACACAAATATATACTTCTATTGCAGCTCTTATTCAACTGCATAGTCCATTTTTTTTGTATGACTCACCATGTGACAGCTGTGAGTTCCTTAAATGCAGGCAGAGTGGCTTAATTTTTTTTGTGTGTCCTCAGAAAATAACACATTTTTGGCAAATACTCAACGTTTGATGGCTGAAAAAACATGCCTCTAATTTTTGTCTTGCGTTTAATTTTAGAATTTCCATCTATCAAGTTATTCAAATAACAATTTTGTCATAGTCATCCAAACTTCTTCCTTTGTTCCTCTTCCCATCCTTCCACTCACCACATCATTCTATATTTGGTTATTTAATTCAAATGGTTCCTCTTCACTTGGAATGCCATCTTCTTCTGCCTGTACTATTTGAATACCTCCTAACTTGTCTTCATTCCTTTCATATCTCCTCTGTTAATTACTGCCAAATGGATGTTATTTAAACACAAATTTGAATTTATTCTGTTTAAAGAGTCTTCCCTGGTCCTTCATTGGCAGCAAATAGTAACCCTTTCAGTTTGGCATCGAAGACTGTTCTTAACTCACCTTCCAAGACTGCCTGATTCCCTAATTACCCCATGTGATAGCCACACTCTACTACTTGGCACTTTGAACATTCATTAATTTTGAAATTAATAAATTTGTAATATTGTAATTAACATACATTAATGATTCCATTAATATACTTAAAGCATATTGGTCTTTACCTCGTCTTAAATCATTTCAGTAATTTTATCTTTTGAAAACATTTATCCCTTTCAGAGAAGTCTTCAGACACATTGCCGTTGATTTATATATAGACTATAATACTTTTAAAGTATACTTTGTCAATGGTTATGTCCTTATTTTATCTCTGTTGTTCTAAAATTTCTTCCCTCACCCCCAGATTAACCTTTCCCAGAGACAGAGAAAGCCAGCAAGGGTCTGGGCTGCTGTGATGCTTTAATTAAAAGTGTTCCACTCTGTTCTGTTTTTTATTGAGGGTACATGAGTAATATTTTGCAAAATATGTTTGCAGAGTTTTATTAAGAAAGGGCATGCAGGACTGACTTCACATGTGAAGCTACAATTAAGCTGCTGCGTGCTATGACCCAGGCCTCTACGTTGATGGTCCCCAGACTTGTTCCCATCATGGCTGGGTGGATCAGGCACTGAGAACATGACTCGTGCTGTTTAAACATGACCATGTGATTGAAACTAGGTGCCAATTAATTAATTCTTAAAATATATCACTTTAATACAGCTTGGGATACTGACATTGTCTTTTTTTTAATTATACTTTAAGTTTTAGGGTACATGTGCAAAACGTGCAGGTTTGTTACATATGTATACATGTGCCATGTTGGTGTGCTGCACCCATTAATTCAACATTTACATTAGGTATATCTCCTAATGCTATCTCTCCCCACTCTCCCCACCCCACAACAGGCCCCAGTGTGTGATGCTCCCCTTCCTGTGTCCATGTGTTCTCATTGTTCAATTCCCACCTATGGGTGAGAACATGCAGTGTTTGGTTTTTCTGTCCTTGCGATAGTTTGCTGAGAATGATGGTTTCCAAACTCATCCATGTCCCTACAAAGCACATGAACTTATCATTTTTTATGGCTGCATAGTGTTCCATGGTGTATATGTGCCACATTTTCTTAATCCAGTCTATCATTGTTGGACATTTGGGTTGGTTCCAAGTCTTTGCTATTGTGAATAGTGCTGCAATAAACATACGTGTGCATGTGTCTTTATAGCAGCATGATTTATAATCCTTTGGGTATATACCCAGTAATGGGATGGGTGGGTCAAATGGTAATTCTAGTTGTAGATCCCTGAGGAATCGCCACACTGATACCTACAATGGTTGAACTAGTTTACAATCCCACCAACAGAGTAAAAGTGTTCCTATTTCTCCACATCCTCTCCAGCACCTGTTGTTTCCTGACTTTTTAATGATTGCCATTCTAACTGGTGTGAGATGGTATCTCATTGTGGTTTTGATTTGCATTTCTCTGATGGCCAGTGATGATGAGCATTTTTTCATGTGTCTTTTGGCTGCATAAATGTCTTCTTTTGAGAAATGTCTGTTCATATCCTTTGCCCACTTTTTGATGGGGTTCTTTGTTTTTTTTCTTGTAAATTTGTTTGAGTACATTGTAGATTCTGGATATTAGCCCTTTGTCAGATGAGTAGATTGCAAAAATTTTCTCCCATTTTGTAGGTTGCCTGTTCACTCTGATGGTAGTTTCTTTTGCTGTGCAGAAGCTCTTTAGTCTAATTAGATCCCATTTGTCAATTTTGGCTTTTGTTGCCATTGCTTCTGGTGTTTTAGACATGAAGTCCTTGCCCATGCCTATGTCCTGAATGGTATTGCCTAGGTTTTCTTCTAGGGTTTTTATGGTTTTAGGTCTAACATTTAAGTCTTTAATCCATCTTGAATTAATTTTTGTATAAGGTGTAAGGAAGGGATCCAGTTTCAGCTTTCTACATATGGCTAGCCAGTTTTCCCAGCACCATTTATTAAATAGGGAATCCTTTCCCCATTGCTTGTTTTTCTCAGATTTGTCAAATATCAGATAGTTGTAGATATGTGGCATTATTTCTGAGGGCTGTGTTCTGTTCCATTGGTCTATATCTCTGTTTTGGTACCAGTACCATGCTGTTTTGGTTACTGTAGCCTTGTAGGATAGTTTGAAGTCAGGTAGCGTGATGCCTCCAGCTTTGTTCTTTTGGCTTAGGATTGACTTGACAATGTGGGCTCTTTTTTGGTTCCATATGAACTTTAAAGTAGTTTTTTCCAATTCTGTGAAGAAAGTCATTGGTAGCTTGATGGGGATGGCATTGAATCTATAAATTACCTCGGGCAGTATGGCCATTTTCACGACATTGATTCTTCCTACCCATGAGCATGGAATGTTCTTCTATGTGTTTGTATCCTCTTTTATTTCATTGAGCAGTGGTTTGTAGTTCTCCTTGAAGAGGTCCTTCACATCCCTTGTCAGTTGGATTCCTAGGTATTTTAGTCTCTTTGAAGCAATTGTGAATGGGAGTCCACTCATGATTTGGCTCTCTGTTTGTCTGTTGTTGGTGTATAAGAATGCTTGTGATTTTTGCACATTGATTTAGTATCCCGAGACTTTGTTGAAGTTGCCTATCAGCTTTAGAAGATTTTGGGCTGAGATGATGGGGTTTTCTAGATATACAATCATGTCATCTGCAAACAGGGACAATTTGACTTCCTCTTTTCCTAGTTGAATACCCTTTATTTCCTTCTGCTGCCTGATTGCCCTGGCCAGAACTTCCAACACTATGTTGAATAGGAGTGGCGAGAGAGGTCATCCCTGTCTTGTGCCGGTTTTCAAAGGGAATGCTTCCAGTTTTTGCCCAGTCAGTGTGATATTGGCTGTGGATTTGTCATAGATAGCTCTTATTATTTTGAGATACGCCCCATCAATAACTACTTTATTGAGAGTTTTTAGCATGAAGCGTTGTTGAATTTTGTCAAAGACCTTTTCTGCATCTATTGAGGTAATCATGTGGTTTTTGTCTTTGGTTCTGTTTATATGCTGGATTACATTTATTGATTTGCGTATGTGGAACCAGCCTTGCATCCCAGGGATGAAGCCCACTTGATCATGGTGGATAAGCTTTTTGATGTGCTGCTGGATTCGGTTTGCCAGTATTTTATTGAGGATTTTCGCATCGATGTTCATCAGGGATATTTGTCTAAAATTCTCTTTTTTGGTTGTGTCTTTGCCTGGCTTTGGTATCAGGATGATGCTGGCCTTATAAAACAAGTTAAGGAGGATTCCTTTTTTTTCTATTAATTGGAATAGTTTCAAAAGGAGTGGTACCAGCTCCTCCTTGTACCTCTGGTAGAATTTGGCTGTGAATCCATCTGGTCCTGGACTTTCTTTGGTTGGTAAGCTATTAATTATTGCCTCAATTTCAGCTCCTGTTATTGGTCTATTCAGAGATTCCACTTCTTCCTGATTTAGTCTTGGGAGGGTGTATGTGTCGAGGAATTTATCCATTTCTTCTAGATTTTCTAGTTTATTTGCGTAGAGGTGTTTCTAGTATTCTCTGATGGTAGTTTGTATTTCTGTGGGATCTGTGGTGATGTCCCCTTTATCATTTTTTTATTGCATCTATTTGATTCTTCTCTATTTTCTTCTGTATTAATCTTGCTAGTGGTCTATCAATGTTGTTGATCTTTTCAAAAAACCAGCTCCTGGATTGATTTTTTTGAAGGGTTTTTTGTGTCTCTCTCTCCTTCAGTTCTGCTCTGATCTCAGTTATTTCTTGCCTTCTGCTAGCTTTTGAATGTGTTTGCTCTTGCTTCTCTAGTTCTTGTAATTGTGATGTTAGGGTGTCAATTTTAGATCTTTCCTTCTTTCCTTTGTTCGCATTTAGTGCTATAAATTTCCCTCTACACACTGCGTTGAATGTGTCCCAGAGATTCTGGTATGTTGTGTCTTTGTTCTCGTTGGTTTCAAAGGACATCTTTATTTCTGCCTTCATTTCATTATGTACCCAGTAGTCATTCAGGAGCAGGTTGTTCAGTTTCCATGTGGTTGAGCGGTTTTGAGTGAGTTTCTTAATCCTGAGTTCTAGTTTGATTGCACTGTGGTCTGAGAGACAGTTTGTTATAATTTCTGTTCTTTTACATTTGCTGAGGAGTGCTTTACTTCCAACCATGTGGTCAATTTTGGAATAGGTGTGGTGTGATGCTGAAAAGAATGTATATTCTGTTGATTTGGGGTGGAGAGTTCTGTAGATGTCTCTTAGGTCCATTTGGTGCGGAGTTGAGTTCAATTCCTGGATATCCTTGTTAACTTTCTGTCTCGTTGATCTGTCTAATGTTGACAGTGGGGTGTTAAAGTCTCCCATTATTATTGTGTGGTAGTCTAAGTCTCTTTGTAGGTCTCTAAGGACTTGCTTTATGAATCTGGGTGCTCCTGTATTGGGTGCATATATATTTAGGATAGTTAGCTCTTCTTGTTGAATTGATCCCTTTACCATTATGTAATGGCCTTCTTTGTCTCTTTTGATCTTTGTTGGTTTAAAGTCTGTTTTATCAGAGACTAGGATTGCAACCCCTGCCGTTTTTTGTTTTCCATTTGCTTGGTAGATCTTCCTCTGTCCCTTTATTTTGAGCCTATATGTGTCTCTGCACATGAGATGGGTCTCCTGAATACAGCACACTGATGGGTCTTGACTCTTTATCCAATTTGCCAGGCTGTGTCTTTTAATTGGAGCATTTAGCCTATTTACATTTAAGGTTAATATTGTTGTGTGTGAATTTGATCCTGTCATTATGATGTTAGCTGCTTATTTTGCTCATTAGTTGATGCAGTTTCTTCCTAGCCTCGATGGTCTTTACAATTTGGCATGTTTTTGCAGTGGCTGGTACCGGTTGCTCCTTTCCATGTTTAGAGCTTCCTTCAGGAGCTCTTTTAGAGCAGGCCTGGTGGTGACAAAATCTCTCAGCATTTGCTTATCTGTAAAGTATTTTATTTCTCCACTTATGAAGCTTAGTTTGGCTGGATATGAAATTCTAGGTTGATAATTCTTTTCTTTAAGAATGTTGAATATTGGCCCCCACTCTCTTCTGGCTTGTAGAGTTTCTGCCGAGAGATCAGCTGTTAGTATGATGGGCTTCCCCTTGTGGGTAACCCGACCTTTCTCTCTGGCTGCCCTTAACATTTTATCCTTCATTTCAACTTTGTTGAATCTGACAATTATTTTCTTGAAGTTGCTTTTCTCGAGGAGTATCTTTGTGGGATTCTCTGTATTTCCTGAATTTGAATGTTGGCCTGCCTTGCTAGATTGGGGAAGTTCTCCTGGATAATATACTGCAGAGTGTTTTCCAACTTGGTTCCATTCTCCCTATCACTTTCAGGTACACCAATCAGACGTAGATTTGGTCTTTTCACATAGTCCCATATTTCTTAGAGGCTTTGTTCATTTCTTTTTATTCTTTTTGCTCTAAACTTCTGTTCTCACTTTATTTCATTCATTTCATCTTCCATCATTGATACCCTTTCTTCCAGTTGATCGAATCAGCTACTGAGGCTTGTGCATTCGTCACGTAGTTCTCATGCTGTGGTTTTCAGCTCCATCAGGTCCTTTAAGGACTTCTCTGCATTGGTTATTCTAGTTAGCCATTCGTCTAATTTTTTTCCAAGGTTGTTATCTTCTTTGCCATGGGTTCAAACTTCCTCCTTTTAGCTCGGTGTAGTTTGATCGTCTGAAGCCTTCTTCTCTCAATTCGTCAAAGTCATTCTCCATCCAGCTTTGTTCCGTTGCTGGTGACGAGCTGCATTCCTTTGGAGGAGGAGAGCTGCTCTGGTTTTTAGAGTTTCCAGTTTTTCTGCTCTGTTTTTTCCCCATCTTTGTGGTTTTATCTACCTTTGGTGTTTGATGATGGTGACGTACAGATGGGGTTTTGGTGTGGATGTCCTTTCTGTTTGATAGTTTTCCTTCTAACAGTCAGGACCCTCAGCTGCAGGTCTGTTGGAGTTTGCTGGAGGTCCACTCCAGACCCTTTTTGCCTGGGTATCAGCAGCGGAGGCTGCAGAACAGCAGATATTGGTGAACAGGAAATGTTGCTGCCTGATGGTTCCTCTGGAAGTTTTGTCTCAGAGGAGTACCCAGCCGTGTGAGATGTCAGTCCGCCCCTACTGGCAGGTGCCTCCCAATTAGGCTACTCTGGGGTCAGGGACCCACTTGAGGAGGCAGTCTGTTCCGTTCTCCGATCTCAAGCTGTGTGCTGGGAGAACCATTACTCTCTTCAAAGCTGTCAGACAGGGACATTTAAGTCTGCAGAGGTTTCTGCTGCCTTTTGTTTAGCTATGCCCTGCCCCCAGAGGTAGAGTCTACAGAGGAAGGCAGGCCTCCTTGAGCTGCGGTGGCCTCCACCCAGTTTGAGCTTCCTGGCTGCTTTATTTACCTACTCAAGCCTCATCAGTTGCGGAGGCCCCTCCCTCAGCCTCGCTTCTACCTTGCAGTTTGATCTCAGACTGCTGTGCTAGCAATGAACAAGGCTGCGTGGGTGTAGGACCCTGCAAGCCAAGCATGGGATATAATCTCCTGCTGTGCCGTTTGCTAAGAGGGTTGGAAAAGCCCAGTATTAGGGTGGGAGTGACCCAATTTTCCAGGTGCCATCTGTCACCCCTTTCTTTGACTAGGGAAGGGAATTCCCTGACCCCTTGGGCTTCCCAGGTGAGGTGATACCTTGCCCTGCTTTGGCTGACGCTCGGTACACTGACATTGTCATGATCATTGTATTGTTTCCTACAGCCATGCTAATGGAAGGAGGAGAATATGGAAGAAAATTATAATTAGTAAGTCGTTGGTAATGAAAACCAGAACACAAAAAAATTGGACAAATTACAAAAAGAGACATTTTGGCAAAAAATGTTTATAAAAAGTGAAATGTGTTAAAGAATACCTCATGAATACTAGGAAAATACAAATTTCAATCACTATTAGGTATCATAATTTTATATCTTTCAGACTGGAAAAATAAATCTCATAATTGCAAGAGTTGGTGAAGATGTGGATTAGATGAAACTGTTACATCTTACTGGGTCTAGTAAACATTTTGTACAACACATTGGAAAACTATTTGGCAGTATCCAGTAATAATTAAGAAGTATGTAACACTATCAATCGTTTTCCTAGATATTTCTAGATCTCTTGCAAATGTACTCAAGGAAGCATATGTAAGAATATCCAGAATAGTATATTTTGTACTATAAAATAAGAAAGACAAATTTCCATTAATAGACTATCAAAAGTATGAATTATGATACAGGTATAGAAAGGAATACTATAGAGCAGGGAAATAACTTCTACAAATATAAGTGGATCAATTTATATTATGGATAAATTTCTAGAGCATATTGAGCAAAAGGAGCAAGCTGCAAAACAATACTGCATTTGTTATTTACATAAATTTTTAGAAAAAATAAAATAATCCTATCTATTATTTAGTGATATATAGTAAGAATACAAATAAACACATGGATGATAAAGATAACTCAGGGTAGTGTTTATTCCTGAGGAGGTGGTAGGGTTATGCAAAGTCTTCAAATGTGTTAGTAATGTTTTCTTTCTTTCTTTTTTTTTTTTTTTGAGACGGAGTCTTGCTCTGTCGCCCAGGCTGGAGTGCGGTGGTGCCATCTCGGCTCACTGCAACCTCTGCCTCTGGGGTTCAAGCCATTCTCCTGCCTCAGCCTCCCGGGTAGCTGGGACTAGAGGTGTGTGCCACCACGCCCAGCTAATTTTTTGTACTTTTTAGTAGAGGTACAGGGTTTCACTATGTTGGTCAGGCTGGTCTCGAACTCCTGACCTCGTGATCCATTCACCTCGGCCTCCCAAAGTGCTGGGATTACAAGCATGAGCCACTGCACCTGGCCGTAATGTTTTATTTCTTACACTAGGTAGCGGGCATACAAATTATTGTTACATTATTCTTTATATCTTTATGCAAGACAAATTATAAAGTCATTGGTAATTATAAAAATTAGCACCCAGAAAATTAGAGAACACTTATAAGGCCACAGTGAGATATTCTAATGCCTCAATCCTTCTAATTTATCTTCTGTCCTCATCATTCCAGTGAAACAACTGTCACTAAAATTATCATTGAATTCAATGGCTCATTAAGATTTCAAAATACAGTCATAGTAATTCATATTTTATGCCCATTTTTCCCCCTTTGGTATGGCTAGTATGGAAAGTCTTTGGAAATGAGTGTTTGAGAATGACAATGAATAATAATTAGTAAGTAGTAAGCCTAATTAAGCATGGTTGCAATAATAGCCCCTGTTTCAGATGTGATCACTTTATGAAACCAAATAAATAATGTTTTCTTTACCTAGTATGTAAATATTCAGCAAAGCCTTTTTTTCTCTATTCTGAAAAGATGGGAACTTTAGAATTAGTTTGCCTTTGCCTAGCAAGGATGAAATTATACCTTCACAGTCTTGTCTCAAGGTTATATCAACTCTCCAACACTGTATCACAATTCAATCTATGAGGAACTTGTTTGCCAAGTATTCTGTTTGATGATCTTCCATGTTGATGATATCTTGTTGACAATATCTGGTGATCGGACACAGAAATAGACAGTATCTAGATGCCTTAATAAAATATATGAGTACTTAAGCATGGAGGATAAATCTCATGGAAATTAAGGAAGCTGACACTTAGGAAAGTTTCATGGGTCCTTTCATCTAGAGCATTCCTTTCACCTAAAATATCCCTTTCCAAACAGAAAAAGTTACTGCTAGCTGGTGGGTTAACTACAACCATAAAGGAGCATGCTGAGGACAACTGGCACACTAAGAATAACATCACAGAGAATTTGAAAAAAATTGTATCTTTTTCTGTATGATTTTCAACTCAAGAAATATATTTAAATTATTGCTTTATATAGATAATCTTTTCCTTTTTGATTATTTGAGACTGTAATTCTGAAACAGTTTTTCTTATTCTGGAAAATTTCCTTTTCAAGATGCTAAACCGTCTCAGTTTTTTGTTTTTCTGAGGATATACTTATTTGGACCTTATTGTCTAAATGAAGGTTTACCTGTGCAGATATTTCTAGACTGATATTTAGCTTCTCTGTGCAATTTGAAAATATTATTTCACTCTTGATTTAAAATAATTGTATATATGCTAGAATAATTATACTACTTTCTGTCAATCATTTTTAACTTATCTTGCATATTTGCTTTGTCTCTCTCTGCTACATTATTCAGGCCTAACTTCCTGTTCTTTAATTCTTTTCTTAGCTATACCTAATCTGCTGTTTAATTCACCTTTTAAAATTTCAATGATGATATATTTTATTACATTGCCTGGAATTTTGTGATAGTTTCTCTTTTGCCCTGCTTGTTTTTCAATTTCCTATGGCATTTTCCTGAGCATTTAACATATATTAGTTTTTTATTTTTGAGTTTAATGAATCTCACAGCCAAAATCCTTTGGAGTATAATGCTGCTGTTTATTTTTTTTTTCCACAGCATTTTGCCTGGGGAGCTCATCTGTTTTAGCTGGTATTCCCTTTTTTATTATGTGGTTTTTTTATTGATATTTATTGGTGAGGATCAATAGTAACCCAATTTGTAGAATTTACATTTGCAAAAGTAAACTTACATTTGCTTCTTCCAAATATCCTGACACTTTCATACTGGCACTTCTTATATTTCTAGTTGAGAATTTCTTCAACCACATTTGTAAAATAAGTTAGAACCCTGAACCTTACATGAGAGAAGGGTCATTAAAGAATTCTTAGGGTAGGGGGTGGTTACTTACCCAACTGTAGCTGACGTGGCTGAGCACCAGTAGTTTTCTTGTTGCTTTTCTTTTCTGTTAGGCACTCCCCCTCCTCCACCTGCTCATTGTCATTGAATCTGAAGTCCCTTGGAGTTCTAAACTTTATTTATTAACAGTTTTCAGTTTCAACTCTTGATTTTGTTCAGGCACAAAGATCTTTTTTTTTGTGTCTCATGCTGGCCTTGAAATCCTATATCTTAAGTAGCTAAAACCAGCAAATGTTGTGGTATCACTGTCTGTCATGCTTTTAAAAACGGATTCCTCTCAGTTTTTTGGCTCTTACTGCATTCCTTTATTTTGGAACTGTGGAAATGACATTCTGAACTCAACTACAAATTCAAAAGAATGTTTATTTTATTTTGTCCAACATTTTAATAGATTTTTTTTTTTAGTGGGAAGGTTTTCAGACTATCTTCTGTGCCAACTGTCAAAAGTAGAATCCCAGTGCTATATTTTGAAGATTGTGTAGATTATTTGAAACCCAAGTAACAGCACCATCTCTCTCAATTAGACTTGCCTGGAGACCTAACAGCAAAAGTTTCCTTAAAAGCACAGACGAATCAAAAAGCCTAATAACTTATAGAATAAATAATGGTTTCTTCAGTATTTCTTATTCATGTATATTCATGATGCATGCATGCACATAAAAGCAAAACAAAATGAGATAAAATGTTTTGAGAACAAAAACAAAAATAGAAAACCAGAACAAAACAGAAACCACAAACTTGGCAACAAAAAAAAAATGATTTTGTTTGTTAGGTTTATCGGTATGTCTCTACAAATATGAAAAATGTAGAGTAATAGTCTAATAGTCTAGTTCCCATTTTTTTTGGCACCAGAGACTAGTTTCATGGAAGACATTCTCCAAAGACTGGGGTGGGATGGGGGAATGGTTTTGGGATGATTCAAGCCCATTACGTTTGTTGTGTACTTTATTTCTATTATTATTACATTGTGATGTATAATGAAATAATTATACAACTCACCATAACATAGAATCAGTGGGAGCCCTGAGCTTGTTTTCCTGCAACTAGATGGTCCCATCTGGGGGTGATGTATTAGATTCTCATAGGGAGTGTGCAACCTAGATCCTTCATATGTGCAGTTCCCAATTGGGTTTGTGCTCCTAGGAGAATCTAATGCCACTGCTTATCTGACAGCGGGTGGAGCTCAAGCAGTAATGAGAGTGATGGGGAGTGGCTGTAAGTACAGAGGAAGCTTCGCTGGATCACCCACCACTCTCCTCCTTCTGTGCCGCCGGTTCCTAACACTCCACACTGATACCATGGCCCGGGTGCTAGGAACCCCTGGTCTATGCCACTTGTAGATAATTTAAAGAATTGAATGTGTAGCATAATATTCTTCTTTATGTTTTTGAAATAATGACTTTTAAATATAATATTAAGTTCCCAAGTATTTCAAAGTGTGGGTAAAATACATAGAAAATTGCCAGAAAAATACTGAAACACACTTAAGAAAAAGCTTAGAAGATTTTTTGAAGAGTAAATTTTTTAAAGTAAATAGCTATCATTTTCAAGAGTGAATTTTGGCAGACTTTTCTGACTATTAAAATGATGAATATTGACAATAACACTAATTCATAAAAATATCTTAAATGATAATAAAAAGAAACCCTTCCCATAAGGCAAAACCAAGATGATTAAGCTGCCAATCAGAAAATCTTGATTATATCAAATACTCTAGTCCATTTAAAAATAGCCATTGTTTATGATAAACTGCAGTTGAATGAAGAGAATATTTTTCAAAATCTAATTACTACATCAAGTATTTGTATCAAAATGAGTTTAGTATTTTTTATTTTACAATAGATTATAAGCAAAGAAAAATCTAAACTTTTACATAATGATTTTTAAAATACTACCAAAATTCTTGTATATTTGATTCACATTGTGATGATTATGATTATTTTGATTGTAAAAGCGACATTACCAAAGTAAAATAATAGTTTCATATTGTAATATAATTTGATATTTATTAAATGGATCCACATAATTAATGATGTTCTTTTTTTAGCTATCAACATACCTTTCAGAAATACAAACATATCTTTTTTTTCATGACTTCAAATATCTGTAGTGATTTTTTCCCAACCTACAACTTCCTAGCTTAGTAGAGGGCAGAGCATTCACATGTAATTAAAAAAATCCTTACTTAACAGAGAACATTTGTAGCATGGTGTAGAAGAAAGGGAATATGATAGGTAGAGAAAAAAGATGCCCCACATGATGCCTTTACAATAGAAACAGTTTAAAGCCTGGATGATGATAGAACAAGATGGTTTGAATCAAACTCCTAGAGGAAGAATATACTGCAAGATGGTGGTTATGGGAGGAAAATCTTTCCTACCCACTCTATGGAAGAATTGTAAACTAGATAAATAACTTACCAGCAAAAGAAAAATGTTATAAACTAACATGAATACTATTGTTAAAATGCCAGAAGACATTATGAGATAAGGAAACACTTATTCATTATAAAAATATTTCAAATGAACTTTTTTCAACGTGTGAGGGAGGATCGGAGATATACTAGAAGTAGACCCTTAATTCACAGAATTTCCACTCTAACTGGGAAGTTAGTCAATTAACTACTTCAGGCAGCATATAATTAGCTACTTATACCAGGAGAAAGAGGCAAGAACATGAGCAAGGGGAGCAATGTAGCAACCTGGAAGGTACATTGAGAAAAGTCTGAAGTTCAGTTGGCCAGGAGCACAGACTATGCGAGATTAATAGGAAATAGAGCTAGAAAGAGAGGTAGGAGGAGGATCATAGATGGTGATATGCCAGAATAAAGAAATTGAGTTTCATTCTGCAGTCAGGAACATTAAACATCTATGAGCAGAGAAGCAGCAACATTAGAATTGCTCATCAGTAACACTAAGCTCTCAGCAATGTACAAGCAGCTTGAATTAGGAAGAGCAAGAAGTGTTTTTAAAAAAGCTTTAACAATAGTACAGGTGAGAGGAAATCAGGATCAAATTAAGAATGAGGGTAATAACAAGAAAGAGGGAAGAGACTGGAAAGACTTTCTGAGCTAGGAGAGACAGGACTTGGCAATGAGTATGTTGTGGGTTAAGGTGAAGTGAGATCTTAAGGTGAAACAGCAAAGTTTTAAAGTCTGAGTGACCTGGATAATGATTGAGACAGAAATGAAAATGGGAAACCGAGGATGAAGAGTTGAGCAGTGGGAGAGTAATGAAACCAGTATGTACATTTTGATTTTGTTGGGTATTTATGTGGAAATAATCAGTAGGTGGTTTCAAATATGGAAGAAATGAGAGCTGGACATAAAAGCTGAAGAGCTTACCACAAAGATGGAATGGTAACCTTATAGGAATCTGATATCAAGTTGGGTAAAGATAAGATGCATTTTTTGAATTGCTATGATAAAGAGGAGATGGGAGAAGGAGAAATCAGGAAGGCAGGAAATAAGAAGTCCTCTTGTACTGAAATCTGATGGAGGGAGAACTACCAGGAAGCAGGATTAGCTGGTAGTAGGAAGGAGAGAGAGAGTGAGTGTGTGTGTGTGTTTGCTTATGTGTGTATGTACATGTGCAATAGCTAGCAAGCACATAACTGTTTAGCAAGGATGGACCCAAGTGAATACAGAGAAGGAAATAAATTATTCTCATTTTCTGTTTTACTGCTTTAGTCATTAGCTAAAATCTTGCTTCAGGTTGTAGGTGCCTTGAATATGGGATGAACTGAATTTAATGATAGTAGTTTACTTTGTTGGACCTCTAAGGGGTGTCTTACTATAGTAGTCAGTTCAAAGCCTCTGGTTTTAAAAGAGCTTAGAAGTCAGCTACTTTTTACTCCTTCAAAAGATGGTAATGTCTCTATGAAAATGAGGATGTTCTGGGTAAAACTCACTTATAATATCTCTCTTCTGGCAAGCTTTTTTTTTTTTTTTTTAAAGAAATATACAGTAGTTTCCAAACTTGTTATTTTGCAGCATTCCCACTAATCCTGTTTAGTCTTAAAATTGTTATGACATCTTGTTTTGGTAGTCACGACCATCAACAGCCTTTTAAGTCAATTCTCTTTATAAACTGTACAAATCGGCTACTATTTGTGTGTCCTGGGACTAGATAAAGTATGAACAGCATCATATTCAGTTCAACCAATACAGATAATTTTATGTTTCTGAGGCAGACACTGAGAAATAGAGAGATGAATGAATGAGAGAGAGGGGGCGGGGAGAGACAGAAGATGAAAGAGAGCAGAAGAGGATGAAGAGGAGAACTAGGAGTAAGAGGAAAGAAAATTCAAAGTGTGAGGAAGCAGAATCATCAGAATCTGCAAGATGGTGGTTATGGGAGGAAAATCTTTCCTACCCACTCTATGGAAGAATTATAAACTAGATAAATAAATAAAATAGCTTTTATTGAACATCGCTACGTGCCAGGCAATGCTCTCAAAAGCACTATTATCTCTGTTTTTGAAAATTAATAAACTTTATTTATTAGAGTATTAGGCTCACAGAAAATTCAAGAGAAAAGTAGTTTGCATATACTTCCTGTCCCTACACATGTACAACCTTCTCCACTAATGACATCTCACATGGATTGTTACAATCCATGAACCTATACTGAAACATCGTCAAAGTCTATAGTTTACGTTGGAGTTCACTCTTGGTATTGTACATTCTATGGGTTTTAACAAATGTACGACATGTCCATCATTGTAATATCATATAGAATAATTTCACTACCTTAAAAGTCTTCTGTTCAGCCTATTCATCCTTCCCTCCCTCTCATCCCCTGGCAACCACTAATCTTTTCTCTTTCACTATAGTTTTGCCTTTTCCGTAATGCCAGGCAGTTGAACTTATACAATAGGTAGACTTTTCAGATTGACTTCTTCCATTTAATAACATTTAAGTTTCCTCCATGTTCTTTCATGACATGATAGCTCATTTCTCTTTAGCACTGAATAGTATTCCACTGTCTGGATCTACCACAGTTTATTAACTTTTCTTGCTTCGAAGTCTGCTTTATCTGCAATGAATAGAGCTACTCCAGCTTTCATTTGATTAGTGTTAGCATGGCATATCTGTCTCCATCTCCTTACTTTTAAGCTATATGTGTCTTCATATTTGAAGTGGGCTTCTTTTAGAAAACATACAGTTGGGTCTTGTTTTTGATACATTCTGAAAATCTGTCTTTTGTTGGTATATTTGGTCTATTGATGATTAAAGTAATTATTTATATAATTGGATTAATAGCTACCATATTTGCTGGTATTTTCTATTTGTTGCCTTTGTCCTTTGCTCCTATTTTTGTCTTCTACATTTTTATGCCATTTGTGGTTTTAATGGAGTATTTTATGTGATTTCATTTTCTTTCATTTCTTAGTATATCAATTGAACTTTTTTTAAAAAAACTTTTTTAGTGGTTGCACTAGAGTTTGCAATATAACTAATTTAGAACTAATTTAAGTACTTTCAAAGTACTCCCTGGCAACCAATGTCCTCAATTTTTGTTTGCCTGAAAAAAAATCTTTGATGAATAATTTTGCAGATACAATAGAAAAAATATGAACAGATCTTTTGAAGAATAATTCTGCAGATACAAAATTATAGGTAGTGTTTTTTTTCTGAACACTTTAAATATTTCATTCCTTTCTGTTTTTGTTTGCATGGTATCTGAGGAGAAATCCAGTGCAATTCTTTGCTCTTCTATAGGGAAGGTGCTTTTTCCTCTGGCTTCTTTTAGAATTATTTTGTCTTTTATTTTCTGCATTTTGAATATAATGTGACTTCATGTAGCTGGTTTTGTGTGTGTGTGTGTGTGTCTGTGTGTGTGTTTTTGGCATTTATCGTGCTTGGTGTTCTTTGGGCTTCCTGGGTTTGCGGTTTGATGTCCGACATGAATTTGAGGAAACTCAGCCATTATTGCTTCAAATATTTCTTTTTTCCATTCTCTCCTTTTTCTTCTTCTGATATTCTCATTACATATGTGTTATACCTTTTGTAGTCATCTCACAGATCTTGGGTATTCTGTTCTTTTTTCCCAGTCTTTTTTTTTCTTTGTTTTTCAGTTTTAGGATTTTCTATTGACATATCCTCAAGCTCAAAGATTCTTTTCTCAGCAGTGCCCAGTCTACTAAGCCCATAATGGCATCTTTCATTTTTGTTATAGTATTTTTGGTCTCTAATATTCCTTTTTATTCTTAGAATTTTCATCTCTCTGCTTACATTATTACTACTATCTGTTCTTGCAAATTGTCGACTTTTTCCACTGAAGCCTTCAGCATATTAATCATAGTTTTTTAAAATTCCTGACCTGATGATTTCAACATTCCTGTTATATCTGACTCTGGTTCTGATGTTTGTACAGTCCCTTCAAACAGTGTATGAGTTGGATTCTCTAGAGGAACAGAACTAGTAGGAGATATATATATATATATGTGTGTGTGTGTATATATATATATTTATATATATATATATATATATATATATATAAAGGGGAGTTTATAAAGTATTAACTTAATGATCACAAGGTCCCACAGTAGCCTATGTGCAAGCTGAGGAGCAAGGAGAGCCAGTCCAAGTCCCAAAACTGAAGAACCTGGAGTCTGATGTTTGAGGGCAGGAAGCATCCAGCATGGAAGAAAGATGTAGCTGGGAGGCTAGGCCAGTCTCTTTCTCACATTTTTCTGCCTACCTTATATGTGCTGGCAGCTGATTAGATTGTGCCCACCAGATAAAGGGTGGATCTGCTCTCCTCAGCCCACTGACTCAAATGTTAATCTCCTTTGGCAGCACCTTCACAGACACACCCAGGATCAATACTTTGTATCCTTAAATCCAATCAAGTTGACACTCAGTATTAACCATCACAGTGTCTTTTGCCTCCTAGTATTCCTCATATTTTTTTGTTGAAAGGTAGTCATAACGTATTGGGTAAAAGGAACTGCTGTAAATAGGCCTTTAGTAATGTAGTGGTAAGGTGTAGGGTGAGGGGAAGAGTTCTATAGCTATGATTAGGCCTCAATCTTTTGGATAGCCGGTGTCCTCAGACTAGGAACTTACCAGTACTTCTTAATTCCCTTTCCCTACTCTTAGGTGGGAAAGGATAGTTGGAGTGGGCAGGAGCTGTGTATTTCCCTTTCCTGAGGTAGTTTAGGCTCTGATAAAATCCCAGAAGGTTAGGTTCTGATAAAACAGTTTCTCTTGAGGGTAGATCTTGTTGAGAAGAACAGAATGCTCTGTCATATTTCAAAATGACTCTTTGCTTTTCCTCTTGCTGGAAGCATGAAGGAATTTTTCTCTGACATTGATTTTGAGGACCTGATAGGGTTACTGAGGGGAAACTCAAAAAAGTGTGAGGACCCTCCTATGTTTGTGTCCCCTTGGAATTTTCTCAGACTTGTCTACACCCAGCTTCCAGCAACTTGTCAATTACAGTTCACATTTTTGTACCCTGGGACTGGTTCTCACGGAGATTTCTGCTCCAATAAATTATAATTCTCTGTATTCAGCTGGCTGTTTTTCCAATGTTGAGGGCTGTTGTTTGCCTTGTGACATTACTTCTCTGATGGAGCTCATTAAAGTTTTTGTTTTTTTAGATTGTTCAGCTTTTTGCTTGTTATGACAGAATGGTGACTTCCAAGCTCCTTACATAATGGACTGGAAATCAGAAGTCCACTACTGCTTTTTTTTTTTTTTTTTTTTGAGAAGATAGCTGAATCTTTAAGCCTCCGTAAAAGGAAAGCAATTTTCTGAATGTTGCAGTTAGAAACACTTGCCTTTGAAGACTAATTCTGCTGCTTATTAATTCTAAAATTGAGAATCTTAAAATGTCACCTGACTCTGAAAAGGTTATGGAAGAATGACTCCCACACAGAGGTTCTATTCCTGACTGCCATGGTCCCACTTTCCACCCGATCTCTCCTCCTCACTAACGCTGTTGCCTTGAAGACTTTGTCTGTTATTGGACCCCATCATCCCCATAATATTCCTTCCACATTACTCTAACAATGATATTGTCTAACATGTTTTGAACTCTCATTTGGTGAGAGCTAAATATGATTTTTACTTGGATAATGTATTTTGACCTTAAATACAACTCTATGGTTACCCCCTTTTACAAAGGAGAAATCAGGCACCTGGAAAGGTCAAGTAACATGCTCAGGAACAAGTAAAGGTCACGTAACACTCTCAAGAACATGTTGCTAGGAAATGTCAACTTAGATGCTATAACTTCAGAGACCTTCCTCTGTATATTACTGCTATTGCATTCAGTAGAACATTTACATCAGCTGCCTTATGTGTTTGGATAATAAACTGTATTTTTGTATTTTACCATTTTGCAATATGAAGTAACTAACTCTGTAAACATTAATTATTACTCTATCATTATTACATCTTTCCTCCCAATTTTATGCATATAATAGGTTTTTAAACATTTTTGTTTTTCCTCACTCTACTAATACTTTACACAAAGCATCACACTAAGTTTTTTACTTTCTTCAACCTTCCTATTTTCTTCATTATTCCATCCTTAATCCTATTCATCTGTCCGTTCTATTTCTTTCATTTCTTTGAAACCTGTGGAAAGGCATTTTAAATAATTATATTTCTATGTAATATAAAATAATTTTTAGTTTGCTATATCTATTTTGAGATCACAAATGCAATGCCACTGATATAATTATCAAGTTATCTCATGCACTGGAAATAATCACAAACTCTAAAAAAGTTAATGAATAAATGACTACCAACTGTAAGGGATTATGACTATAACCACATGAGTATACTATTTCACTATTTGAAATGCCTCACATGCAAGGAGAACTTGGACAGATGAAGGTCAAAATTCAGATATAAACCTAAAAAGGTTCAGTAGTACAGTTCAATGGGAAAAGTACATTAGAAAGTCCATGAATTGCTACCACTTACATGCCTGGTCTTTTTATCTGTAGCCCATATGACAGCACAGTCTCATTCAATAAAACTCTTTGATTTTGCCTAAGAACCATGAGTACAAAAACACTTGAATATATGGGAAGTTGTTGGGTTCAAGTGTGGGGCAAGCAATGGGTATGAAAATAAGGGAAAGTTTGAAAGTTCATATTGTAAACCAATTTTCTCTCTTCTATTAAAAACTAATGGGATAGAAGAGTGCTTCCAAAGAAACCTCTTAGAAATCACAGCTAGAGATTGCAAACACATTGTTTGGCTGGTAGGCTCCCTGTCTTTTTTTCTATAACAGAATATAGGCTTCTGTTGGATTAAGGATAAAAATACATTGTAAAGTGCTACACGGTATGAACCTGGTGATTAACGATATTTTGTTCACATAGAATCTAAAGAATCTTTTTTTTTAAAAAGTAAGCATGGAGGAAATTTAAAGGCTTTCTTACTCCCTCTTTCTACACTCCACTTCACATAAATAATATAGACATTGGGGTAAAGAATGAAGTAGAATATTTTATATATGTATATGTATGTATGTATAACTTAGACATACTCTCAGATTACTCCACATTGACCTTTAATGATACTCAGATTTCTCGCATTAGGCACTGAGGGGATGGATATACCATGTTATAAAAAATGTTGGTGGATGACTCTGTGTGTGTGTGTTTGTAGATCAGAAGATCAGTTTTGAATATTAACTTTGATATCTAAAAAGACATCAGAGTGAAGATGCCTGTATGGTGTTTGTTGGCTATGGCTATATGGATCTGAAGTTTACAGGCATGATCTATTCTGAAGATGCACATTTTAGAATTAAGGGAATTTTATTAATTGAAGCTGAGCAATGGGTATGGGAGAGATTTATTTTATATATGTATATATGCCACATTTTTATTTTAGGTGTGAGAGATTTCTTTAGAGAATATGGGAAGATAAAGAAGAAAATGAGGTTTGATATTAGGACCTAAGGAACTGTAAAAAGTGAGAGGATATAGCAAAGGAGTCTAAAAAAGGCAGACAGAGAGGCAGGCACCATAAGGAAGTATGGCATTAGAAAAGCTGAAAGGAGACAGTATTTTGGAAGAAAGAACCCTCAGTTGTGTAAAGTTTCTAGATCAGCCTGTGTTACAGCAGGGCTAGGGAGTAAGGAATTGGCAGTACTGAATTAGAACCTATAAATTAATATTTGAAAAAAGGAGAAGAATCATAGGGCAGTAGCTGCACAGTAGTAGATTTTTGGAGGAATTTTATTGAATGGGAAGGACTAGAGGAGTTTAAATGCTGTCACAAGGGCCTAGTAGAACAAAAGAAGTTGTAGATCCAGGAATGAGAGTGAACATTTCATAGTTTCTGTTACAGGGGGAATATGATCTGAGTTACTTAGGGTCTTAATTACAAAAAGTAAAATTCACTCTACTAGTTTAAGCTGAATAAAATAGTTGTACCTCATTGGCAGAGACTCTGTCATATGTTTATGTCTGCCTTAGAAGGCAGGGGTTATGTTGTAGAGGCAAATCTCATAGCAAGATATTTTCTAAAATACAGAGAAGGTATTATAAAGATGATAGGCACCCACCATAGGAGAAAAAGAGGCTATAGGAGTCGAGCACGGATGGAAGAATTGGCCTTAATTAGTAGTTTAGAAATTGTCTCCATGGCAGTGCGGATAAAAAGCAAATGGGTGATGATCTGAAAGTTTTGAAAGTTGCCATCTGAGGGCAACAATTTTTTTTCTCAGAAAAGTAGGACACAAATTGAGACCGAAGGTAATAGTGAATGTCTGAGGTTTGAAAATGTGGAAAAGATTGAAAATAGTCATTGTGGAGATAGGGAGAGAAGGCTGAGAAAAATGACATAATATTTATGAGCTGTGTGGAAGTTTCAGTGTAAAGTGGTGGCCATGAATTTATAGTAGTACCAATCTTCCCAGCTAGATGACTTTATTTTTAAATAGTAATCAGAAGCCTGGGTGATGACATGGAGATGACAGATACCCAGGCTTATCCAGATTTAAATTCTGGTTGAAAGTCCTGTGAAATGGTAGAGAAGAATGAAAATTTAAATATATTAGAAAGAAATATATTATGGAAGCATAAATACCAAATACATTCTCATAGCCACATACTGCCATTGGCTAATGTTATATAAAATCCCAGGTGTACTTGAGCCATTAGTGTCTGCTCATAAGGACAGATATTTATCCCTATTATATATTTAATTTTAATTGAGTTGCTCTGTTATTCCATGCAGCTGGTTAAAATTTTTTGGCTTTGATTTTGTCATCCCTTACATTACTTTTCTTTCAGGCTTTATTTCACCTGAAAATATGATAAACAGATAATATCTTAATCCAAATTACTAATGAAAATGTTGAATGAGAGAAGGCAAATTATATAACCCTCTAATATGTTGTTTTAAAGAGTTTAATCCAAATTCTTAGATATGGGGATTTTAATAATCATTTTCTCAGTGATAGAATCACAAAATTTTATAGCTATGCCATACCTGGACTCCATGCATTTTTTTCACAGCCAAGAAAGCTGTTGGTCAAGAAGTTTAATTGATTTTTCCCAAAGCAGCGACTGGGTGGTGGACGTTCAACACCAGACTGAGTTTGTATATATGTATTTTTTATTTTTTAACTGTATATTGACAAATTATAAGGTATATGTTTATGGAGTACAAAGTGACATTATAGTATATATAAAATATATACACACACAATGTGAAATTATTAAATCAAGTTAGTTAACATACCCACCATCTCAAATACTTACCATTTAATCCTCCTAACCACAACATTATACATTGACAACCAGTTCTGGAATTGGTGGCTTTTTATACACTAGTCTTTTCTATCACATGAAACAAGTTCTTTTCACATTCAAATGGTTTTTGACATATTAAGTAAATTTTTATTTTCTATGAATTAAAGAATAAAAATTTACTTAATTTTTATTATATATATCTTCTATATATCTAGAATAGATATATATCTAGAATAATATATATCTATAATATCTATATATCTCTCTATATATATCTTCAGGAAATTTGATTCTCCACTTTTTAGTAGTTTTTTGGTTACAAATGTTACTGTGAATGAGGTCCCAGGGGGAGTTGCATTAATATCATCTATCCCCCAGAGATTGTAGTCAGGAGACACTGCACTGGCATCGTGAAAATGAAAATGCAATTACAACAATGTAGAGTTCTGTAATTATAAATTAAATTTTCATTCTATCTGTTCCTTAAGGTTATGTTGATTGAAAACTGAAAACTAGTTTTGCCGTTACCAGTTGATAAACAAAAAGTTTATCATAGACAAAATGCAGACTGTAATATGATATACAAAGTCCATTTGAAACTATTTTTCAACCTGTAAATGTAATTATAATTAGAGTTATACTAAGTTATAAACTTTTATAACAGTAAATGTCTTTTATTTGTTCCAAATTGGGAACAAATTAAAATTTAGTTTTAAGAATGTTTTCACATTTAATCACTGCAGTACTATAACATAGGCTTTGAACAGTGATACTGGCGTTTGAATCTCAGATCTGTTATATGATAGCTGTGGTTGAATATTATGTAATCTTTTTAGCTTCAGTTCACTTGTATGTAAAATGAGAAGCACATTACCTGTCTCATTAGGTTGTGAGAATTAAATAACTATATTTGTCTCTAAAGTACAAGGAACAATCTCTAGTTTACAGTATTTACTCCGTAAATAACAGATATGACTTTTGCACTTATAGAATAAGAAAGAAGGGAGCAAAAATTCCTTGACAGCATTTTAGCAAGATAGAACCCTCTATTGTGTAAAAAGTTTCTAGATCAGCCTGTGTTACGGCAGGACTAGAGGGTAAGGAATTGGCAGTTCTGTTCTCTTTTTCTGAATGGAGTTAGTTTTAATTATAAACTTTACCATGGGAAGCATCTAGAGATACATCACATATAATTTTGGTACCGTATTTTAAATGTTATAATGGCTATATTCTTTTATATTTCAACTAGTAACTGTGAAGAGTGTTTCTTACTGTCCTGTTTTAAAACAGCTACGAAAGTTGCTAACATCAGTCTACATCACGAGTTGGCAAGCAGGTTAAATCCAGCATGCTTTCAGTTTTTGTAAGTAAAATTTTATTGGAACTATGCCCATTCATTTACATATTTTCTATGGCTGCTTTCACAGTACACTGGCAGAATTGACTGGTTGTGTCAGACTATATGACCTGCTAAACCTAAAATAATTTACTACCTGGCCCTTTACAGAAAAAAACTTACCAGCCTTTGTTCTACTTGATTTAAACCATGAAAGCTATGAGGAAAAAGTGGTAAATAGATTGAAAAAAATTTCTCCAGACAATATTATGAGCTAGATTTGAAAAAACATTGATATATAAGGTGCAAAATTCTGGAATTTACTAAAGAAGTTATAATTATTGAAATATTCCCTGGTATTTTTGTCTTCTATTATTTGCTATCCATTATACTTTTTATTTTAAAATTTTATTTCTGGTGTTTATTGTTTATTTTATTAGCTTTATTCTTCATAATGCCTTTCTAAACTCAAAAATATACCACCTAAAGGGCTGATATCTGCAAGGTGGTAGAGTAGAAGACTCCAGGCTTCATCCTGTTAAATAACAATTAGACAGCTATCCATGAACAAAAATAGCCCTAGGAAGAGCTCAGGAGTCTCATCAAGAACCTATAGCAGCACAATAGGGCAAAAACACTAAATAATCGCATAGAGAGGATTGCTTGGGTGATTGATGTGCCAGAAACATCTAGAGATAGCTAGGTATGAAGATAAGGGAAAGGGGCTATCACTGTCAGCCATGCAGTGAGTGCCACCTTGCTTTCTAGTGGCTTACTCTGCAGAGAATTCTGGCAGTCTTAGTCACAGGGCTGTCAACAGCCACCATAGTAGGTGTGGATTTTCCATAGATTTCACAGCAAGGTCTCCTTAGTGTTTGTAGGCATGGACCCCAGTGCCTGTTCCACAGAGAACTCTGGCAGCTTTTGCCACTGACGTAACCAAGAGCTGCTATAGTGCTGAAGATCTCCAGGGGAGGGAGATGCTGCTTCCCCTCGCCCAACCCAACAAGAAGCTACAGATGTGCTTCCCTGGGACCTAGATCCCCAGCTCCCCTGCAGCCCCATACATGCCCCTGACCCTGGAGCTGCGGCCACTCTGTGCCTTGATCATTGGAGCCACTGCCAAAATGAGGTAGTCTGTGCCCTGGAACTCAGACTTGCAGTCACTTTATGCATGCCCAAGCTCTAGACCTTGGCGCTATGGCTGCTCCAGGAGTGCCTACACCATGGACACTGAAGCTACCTCTGTAGAAGGTACATCTATGGCCCAGACCCAGGAACAGTGGTTGCTCTGCACATGAGTATGTCCCAGATCCTGGATTTCAGGCTTCTCTTTAAGCACCTGTGCTTCATGCACCAATGCTGCAGTTCGGGGGTGGGGTTGGAGAGAGGTCTGAATGCCACCATTGCCCTGAACCCTGGAACTGTAGTCATTGTGTGTCACTTGTGCTCCAAATCCCAACTCTGTGCTCACTACCCAGGCGCCACACACCAAACACCACTGCCATCACCACTGTGAGCATGCTCATAAGCTGGACCTGGCACCAAGAAGGATCCTTTTGGCCATGATTTTCCCCATGAGAGAAAAAGAGATAAGGAGGACTCCAGCAGCCTTCACCACTAAAGACTCCAACAGCCCTTGCCACTACTGTGGATACTCATAGTTTTAGCAGCTGAGGATCCCTGCAATCTTTGCCAGCCTTGATCTCAGCTGATGGAACTGCATAGAGTCTTTACAACGACACCCTCACCTAGCCAGAACCACCTGACCCTACCCAGCTGGTGTCCTCACATCCACCCATAGGCAAAGGTCTTTACCCACTTAAACCAGTGCAAAAAGTCTTGAAGAAGACTGTTCTATTAAATGTGCAAACATTAACTCAAGATGATAAATAAAAATCAAAGAAACATGATATCACAAAATAGAACACACACACCGTAATATTCTAGTAACAGACTTCCCAAAGTGGAGATCTATGAATTTCCTAACAATAAATTCAAAATATTAGGTTGGTGCCAAAGTAATTACCATTAAAAGCAATGGCAAAACCCACAATTACTTTGGCACCAACCTAATAAGCTCTTTAAGAAAGCTTAGTGAGCTACAAGAAAACATAGGTAGCTAACCCAACAAAATCGGAAAAATAATACATGAAAAAAATGAGAAGTTCAATAAAGAGATATCACAAAAAAGAACCAAAGAGAAATTCAGGTAATACAGAATTCAATTAATGAAATAAAAACTGCAATGGAGAGCATCAACAGCAGACAAAATCAAGCAGAAGAAAGACTTGACTTCTGTGGACCTGAAGACAGGTCATTTGAAGACGTCCAAAAGTCTCTCAAGTCAAAAACAAAAAGAATTTTGAAAGCAACAGAAAAGGAAAGAACTTTTTAACATATAAGAAAACCCCTATATGGCTATCAGTGGATTTCTCAGGAAGAACTTCGTAGTCCAGGAAAGAATGGGGAGATTTAAAATACTGAAAGAAAAATAAAACCTGCCAGTCAATATTTTATCCTATAGTAGATACATAAAATGAGAAAAGAATCATAGCATAATACTGTAGAACATCATCAAATCACAAAGAGACAGAAAGGAACAAAGGGTTGACAAGGTATTAACAAAATGGCAATAGTAAGTTATTACCAATCAATAATTACCTTGAATGTAAATAGGTTAAATTCTCCAATCAAAAGACATAGAGTAGATAAATGGGTAAGAAGAAAACACTCAAATATATGCTCCCTACTCACTTCAGTTTGAAGGACTGAAAGATAAAATGTCTTTAAGGACTGAGAGAGCAAATTAAGTTTTAAAGACAACATAGACTGAAAGTGCAGAGATGAATAAAAACATTCAATGTAAACGGAAAGTAAGAGCAGAGGTGTTTATACTTATATCAGACAAAATAGTTTTTAAGTCAAAAACTAAAGAGAGACAAAGAAGGTCATTGTATAATGATAAAGGGGTCACTTTATTAAGAAGATATGCCAGTTGTAAATATATAAGTACTAAACATCAGAACACATAAATATATAAAGCAAAAGATCTGAGGGAAGAGACAGACAGTAATATAAAAATAATAGAATAAAATTTAATACCTCACTTTCAGCATTGGATAGGTTATCCCAACAGAAAATCAATAAGGAAAAGTCACAATTGAATTACAATTTAGACCAACTGAACCTAATAGAGATATACTGAATATTGCATACAACAGTTGAACAAAGCACACCTTCCTCAAGCACATGCAGAACATTCTCCAGCATAGATTGTATTTTAGGCTACAAAAAAAGTCTTAACAAACTTAAGAAGTGTATTTTCTGATCACAGTGTTATAAAACTGGAAATCAATTACAGAGGAAAAACTAGAAAATTCACAAATATGTGGCAGATCTAAAATATCATAACTTTGTACCTCAAGGAACTAGAAAGAGAGGAACAACCCCCCCCCCAATTAGTAGAAGGAAATAACAAAGACCAGAGCAGAAATGAAGGAAATAGAAACTAGATGAACAACAAAAAGATCAATGAAACTAAGAGTTGGTTTTTTAAAAACATCAACAAAATTAAGAAAGCTTTAGCTGGACTAATTAAGAAAAAAGAGAATATTCAACTAACTAAAATCAGAAATGAAAAAATACATTACAATAATGTGAGATAAATTAGAAGAACAATTACAGGAGACTATTATAAACAATTATATGCCAACAAATTGGATACCCTAGAAAAATGAAAAAAATCCTAGATACAACCTACCAAGAATGAATAGTAAAAAAAAAATTCTTACTCAACATAGTACTAGAGGTCCTAGCCAGAGCAATTGCACAAGAGAAAAAAATAAAGGGTATACAAATTGGAAAGAAGGAAGTTAGATTGTCCCTGTTTGCAGATAACATAGTCTTATATATTTAAAGAAATCTAAAAACTTCACCAAAACCTCTTAGAACTGACAATGATAAATGCAGTAAAGTTTTGGGATACACAATCAACATACAAAAATAAGTAGCATTTCTGTATACTGATAATGAATTAGCTGAAAACATTTCAAGAAAGCAATTTACAATAGCTATAAAAATACCTAAGACCAAATTTAAGCAAGAAAGTGAAAGATCTCTGCAATGAAAACTATAAAACACTGATGAAAAAAAATGGAAGGGGACACAAAGAGATGGAAGGCTATTCCATGTTCATGGATTAGAATAATAAATATTGTTAAAATGACTGCATTTCCCCAGGTGACCTACAGATTACATGCAATCTCTATCAAAATACAAATGACATTCTTCACAGAAATAGATAAAACTATGCTGAAAATTTGTATAAAGCCACAAGCCATCTTGAATAGAGCAATTCTGTGCATAAAACAAAGCTGGAGGCATCACATGATTTGACCTCAAAATATACTACAGAGCTATAGTAACCAAAACAACATGGCATTGACATAAAAACAGACACATAGGTCAATAGTATAGAATATAAAATGCAGAAATAAATCCATGCATTTACAGCTGGCTGATTTTTGACAGCAGCTCCAAGAATATAAATTGGGGAAAGGACAGGCTCTTCAACAAATGGTGCTGGGAAAACTAGGTATCCATATCCAGAAAAATGAAACTAGATCCCTATCTCTCACCATATACAAAACTGAACTCAAAATGGATGAAATAATTATATGTCAGACCCAAAGCTATTAAACTACTATTAAAATAAGTTAAACACTTCAGAACATTTGTTTGGGCAAAGATTTTAATGGAGAATAGCTCAAAAGCACAGGCAACAAAAGCAAAAATAGACAAATAGGATTATATCAAACTAAAAAGTGCCTGTGTGACAAAGGAAAAATCAACAGAATGAAGAGACAATCTGTAGAAGGAGAGAAAATATTTGCAAGTTATTTATCTGACAAGGGGTAATTATCCAGAATCTACAAGAAACTCAAAAAAACTCAACAGCAAACAAAAAGAAAAACAGATAATAATAATCTAATTTTAAAATGGGCAAATGATCTGAATAGACATTTCTGAAAAGACATAGGAATAGCCAACATGTATCTGAAAAAATGTTCAACATCACTAATCAGGGAAATGCAAATTAAAATCACAATGAGATATCATTTTTCTCCAGTTAGAATGACTACTAACAAAAAGATAAAAAATAAATACTGGTAATTATATCATGTGCATTCTGTAAATTAAATTTTGTTTTTTAATTTGAGTGATAGAGTTCACTTTTATGTTACTGAACTGGTTTCCATAATCATTTGATTCAGATCTTCAGATATAGTAGAAATGTGAAACTGTTCAGTGACGGGTTTCTCATTTATATAATGCCAAATCTAATTTAAAGACCATTTTCACTGAAATAACCATTTTATTGAGTATTTTTACATAATATTAAAATAATTAGTTTAACCAGAAAACTTTATCAACACATTTGAAATAATTTTGGCTTACGATACGTATACCACTTGATTGAATTTCATGCAACTTCCTAATGGCCGCTTTGATACAGCATAAGTATAATCACTAAAAGTTACCTACAAAAATGCTATCAAGACTATATTCAATTTGCTAGAAGATATTAATAGAAGGATATTTAGATAATACAATAAGTTCACATTTGACTTCATTTGCCAAAGAAATATTTAAACCTGTTAAATTTGTGAGTAAGGTTTTATCAATTCAGTTGTGTTTAATAAACATTTAGTGAGTTCATACCCATTTCCAGTAATGGGTAATTTTAAAAAAATACTTTCTCTGAAGAAATTGTGTAGCAAAACTTAATATAGCTAAGGATATAGACAGAGATTTTAATTCAACTTTTTTATTTGTAAGAGAAGAGATTGCACAGAGGTGAAATTGCTTATAAAGGGCTTTTCACGTAGAAGGCACAGACGCAAATCACAGAGGTGTGTGAAGATGCACAGGACAACTATCCTGGAGAGATTAAAGTGCACCTTATTTTCCATGGCATTTTCTTAGCCCTACTTTTTGGATCCTTAAAAAATCAGTTCTTTTTCCATGATTAACTTTTTTATGTTTAAATTTACTTTGAACTTAGTTTCCAAAAAAATTACACAATATTAAACTTATTAGTGTTTTAACATTACATTTGGACCTAAACAAATTTACCATATTATTGTGTTTTTTTAAGTCATTTTAGAAAAACGTATATCTTTTGGCCAGGCGTGGTGGCTTACACCTGTAATCCCAGCACTTTGGGAGGCCAAGGTGGGCAGATCACGAGGTCAGGAGATCGAGACCATCCTGGCTAGCACGGTGAAACCCTGTCTCTACTAAAAAAAAAAAAATTACAAAAAATTAGCCAGGCATGGTGGCGGGCCCCTGTAGTCCCAGCTACTCGGGAGGCTGAGGCGAGAGAATGGCGTGAACCCAGGAGGCGGAGCTTGCAGTGAGAGGAGATCGCACCACTGCACTCCAGCCTGGGTGACAGAGCGAGACTCCATCTCTTAAAAAAAAAAAAAAAAAAAAAAAAAGAAAAACTTATATCTTTTTAGATGACAAAGCAAATGACAACCAAAACAATGATAATACAAATCTTGCTAATGATGGCCTATTCAAACTACTTTCTAAAATCTTCCTGTAGTTAAATTTTAATGAAATCAAATAGAAAAGAAAAAGGTAACAGATCAAAATTCTTTAGATTTGAGATATGAATGTCATTGAATTATGGCTTCCTGATAGGTTTCTTTAAGCCCCTGAATATAAATTGTTATTTTCACATCTAGAAATCGACTGGGAGTCAGGAGGATATCTAACAATGCTACCAAAGTCCAGTTATGGGATGGTGCTTATAGGAACATACTATTATAGGTAGTTTTTAATTATTATTATATTTAGTTATATAAGTTTGTGAGTACATTAGTTTTCTGTTGCTGCATAACAAATTACCATAGACTTAGTGACTTAAAATGACACAAATTTATTCTTTCACAGTTTCCATTTTCTAGGCCCATTATCTAGGTTTCACTGGGATGAAATCAAGGTGTGGGTTGGAGACTCACAATCTACTTCCAAGCTCACTGATTATTGGCAAATTCATTTCCTTGCATTTGTAGGAGAGAAGTCTTTGTTTATTTGCTTGCTTGTTTTTTGTTTTGATGACTGTCAGCTAGGGACCACTCTCAGTTCCTAGAGGTCACCTGCAGTTCTTTGCCATGTGCCCCCCTCCCCCATAGACAATTTACAACATCTATGGATGTTTGCTCTCCTTCAGGCCAGCAGGAATGCATCTCTCCTCCTTCTCCCTCCAGTCAACTATGACCCAGTCTGATGAAAATTAGCATAATCATGCGGATGAGCAGGCCATGATCTTTTGCCACATAACTTAACCTAATCAAGGAATAACCATCTTACTACATTCATAGGTTAACCCACATTCAAAAGGAGATAATTATGTGGAACAGGAGTTCCAGGGAGCAGAAATTTGTAGAAGTATTTCAGGATTCTGCTGACCACAGTGATATACATATTATTTCCATTTTACAGATTAGAAGATTAGGACTTAGAAAGGTTTAGTAATTGATTTGCCTAGATTGATATGGCTAATATGTGGCGGAGCTAACAGCTGTCTAATTTAAAAGCTGGGACTCATAACCGTTATGTTTAACATCATCTTGTGGCCTAATGGTAAAGAAATTAAATTACCCTTAATATAGTTAATCCACTTTCTTAGTTTCCATTCACTTGTCTATACAGAAGACTTAAATTTATCTCTCTAATGTTGAGGACTTGCTTGAGCTATAGTCTCCTATCTCTTAAAATCTTCTGCAATTTTCTAATTTTATGACCTAGCTTAAATTTGACTCATCCAAAACCAATTTCAAGAAATTACCCTTCTTAAAGTACCAGTTTCTATTAGGTGTGACACCATTTTTCTTGCCTGAATTGCCATCTTTATGCCTTTTTCTACTTTGCAGCATTATGGACTAATAAAGGGCTGATATCCCAGTACCCATCATGGAGCTCATCTATAGACAGGGCTTAGTCAATACACCTGTTTTTGTTTGGTACTCAAGGCTAGTCAGTAACCAATGCTTTTATTTTTTAATTTGAAATATTAAGAACATTTCCATCTGTTTTGTTTTATTACTATTAGCATTATATTTAGTAATGATAATGTGTGATTTACCCTTATTTTGGGGGTAGCACCTTTTTTTAGTTATTTAATAAATATATTAGCTGTTTTCCAAATGCTGCAAACATGCACAGTTTAACCTTGCTTGAAGTAGCACTTCAAGTGCATTTAATTTACCTACAGATTTAGGATCTAATAGTGAAAAATTAGTAAATAAAAATGAATTGTAGAATTGTTGCCACCAAACTGAGATTGGAAAATACATTTTAAGTATTAAATTGCTATTAAATATATAAGAACCACTTTCATAGCATAGCATGAAATCTTCCCTGGAAGAATACTGCCTTTTTATTGCTTGTGGATATGAATTAGTAGAGTAACTCATTAGATATACTTTCTAGCCCCAGATTTCTAAGGAAATATACCCATAAAGATTTTTCTAAGGCTACTATTCACTGATGTGAATAAATATACCTAATACGAATAAACATTTTATGGTATTAAGAAAGAGTACTGGGGAGTGGTTAAGACTATGGAGCCTAGAGCCAGACTGCCTGAGTTTTTATCCCCTTGTCTCCATTTACTAGTTGTGTGACTTTGATAAGATGCTTCACCAATCTGATTCTTGATTTTCTTATTTCTAACAAGGAATATTAACAGCATTTATCTCATTAATATGTTAAAAAAATGAAATAATATTTTAAAGAATTTGAGAACTTGTACCTTATCACTGCTAAACAAACAAATAAATTAGCAGAATATTTAAGATACTGTAAAGATTAATTCTTCGTAGACTATGCAAATATAGTTGCATTATTGGGATCTTTAAAAATATTCCTTTAAAACATTAGATTTATGATGCAAAAAGTAATTTAGAAATCGTTAATAATAATAAATGACCCAGGATAAATAACAGAAATGCTTACAAAGCATTTTTTTTTTGAATTTTCAGTGTTATCAGTGAATATTTATTGAATACCTTGTATATTGTAAGTATTGTGGGGGTACAAAGAGTTACAATATCATGAAACTATTGTTTTAAAGAATTTACAGTCTAATAACAGTAATAGGGTGTGTTTATAAAGACACAGAACCTGGTAGCATATGCTTTTTGAAGCTGAAGAGATATCTGAGCTCTGATGCAAACCAGCATCGTTTCTTGCCAAGATTTTTGTTTGTTATCCTGAACAGTTAGGAGGCAAATACATGGCCACAGTCAACATATGCATATTCCATTCGAGCATAGCATTTAACCTTCAAGACAAAGCATTTTTTAAATAGAGAAAACAAGGCCTCATATAGTTACTAATATTATATTAAAAATACTATGTTATCTCTCATTTTATATTATTAATTTTCCTGTATGAGGTCAAATTTTCATCTGGGAGCAAATTTCTTAAATTGATTCTTTTAGTTGACATATTTTTGAAGAATTTTGGCTAGGTAGTTTAATTTCTCTAAACAAGCATGGGTAAATGAACGCCGGAAAATAAAAGCAAATCTATTTGTGCATAAGAAAGACTGCAGCACAGGAGGTGTGAGACACAGCCTTGATCTGCACCTTTTAGCAATCTTGGTTTGGGAGAAAGACAGCTTTATCGTTCCTAACTGCCAGCTCTGTACTTGGTATGAGTTGGATATTTTTCAGATTAAATCAAAAGGCAAAAATTGGGTCATAAATTCTATGGAGTTCTGTTCAGGGAAATATACTGGGAAACAGGGTGAGATGGCAGCCAGAAATGTCCCCTTTAGGGCCTGGCAGAAACAAACAACGAGATATAAATACAAAATTAAAATTGATACAATTACATTACAGAGTTATTTTAGTCTCAATATCCCCATTCAAAGATTGTGCCTTTGGTTTAAAAGTTACCAGCAGCAAAATTTTGCAGAGTTCCCATTTCCAGGCTCCAGTGAAAATTCTTTCCTTGGGCTCAGTACATCCATAAGGGATTTGTCAGAGCTTTCTAATTTTACAACTATTAGATAAAATGATAAGGCAGCTGGGTCACTGGAAGGCGAAGCATCCAAACCAGGATTTTGCTGGCTTAAAGAAAATAAAAATGATGTATAAAATAGCAAGCCCCACGGAACAATATAAAGAAAAGGCAGGGAAAAGTGTACTGCTGTAAAAGATGTTTAAAGCAAGGATTCTTGTAGTGTCTTATTTTCATTTGAAAGCTGTAGCCGGGAGCAAAGATTCACTTTGTTTTGGCAAGTTAGAAATATTTCACTGGTTTTTATTTTTACTCAAAGTAAGTACAAGAAACATACTGATAATATGAGATTCTTCTTACTCTCTCTGCTCCACGTTCTGGCCTTTTCTTTATGCTTGGATACTCCTACTCTCATCTACTTTATCTTCTCTCTAGGGGAAAGTTTTGGAAAGCTGGCTAGAAACAAATGAAAAGTAAGTTTTCCCTGAGAAGTGTTAAATATATTGCTCTAAGCATCCAGTGTAACATATGGATCTGACCTCTGTGGGATGTGAACCAAATATTTGTTGACTGAGTGATCATTTCTACAGGCCGGAATTTTAACACAACATTTGATGTTGGAGTTACTGCAGTTCAGTGGAAGACAAATGTTTATGCCATATATAATTTTGAAAATATTCTAGGCTCCCCCTAGACCATGATTTATGAATTATTTCAGCAGCTTGTTGTAGAGCATGGCCAAAAATTTTCGTGTGTTAGGTATTTCTAGAAGCTGAATCAATGAAGCAAATTTCTTGATTACTGGTATGTTGGAAGAACCCTAATCATTGTATCATATAAATAAAACTCTTCAAATAATCAAACATAATCAGAAATTCAAGTCAGCATGACATTATCAAAAAGGGAGTTGGAAGAAGTGAGGACAGAGGAAATGAGAGAAGAAGATGTGCAAAGAGCGATAAAGCTGATTTAACCTCAGTCCTGAGTAGTATTTGGGTTTGTGACCTAGTGGATGAAAATGACTGTGTCACTGAAGGATGAGATAGTCCCGTATAAAAATTCCTTTCTTCCAGAAAGTGATTAATGTCATCCCCCATTGAACAAAGACAAAAGTTCTGATCAAAATTTAAATATAGTTTGGAATATATTTCTGTGGCCACTCTGCACAAGCAGGATAGATCCTGACTCCCATTTTTTTTCTGATGATGTCAAACACACACACACACACTCTCTGTCTCTCTCTCTCTCTCTCTCTCGCTCTCTCTCTCTCTCAAGGAGTAATGACAGGTTTATTATGCATACAACCAGGCTTTCTGGGGATAAGGCAGGCCTTTCAAGTGGGTCCAAAACATCTTGAGAGTGCAGGGAAAAGAGAATGGCTTGGCTTTTCTGGTGGTTAGTGGATGGAGTTAGACTGAAGGTTCCCATGCATGGGTCAGCCTTACATGGTCTGAATTATGCCCCGTTGTAAAAGAAAGGAGCACTTTTTTTTTTTTAACCAGGCTTTCTTACCAGCTTGCCCAATTGTAAGGCATGAAGGGAAGTGGAAGGAGTGAAGTTTAAAAGTCGTCAACTGTCGGCCGGGCGCGGTGGCTCACGCCTGGCCTGTAATC